>NC_000010.11:16373636-16525151 GCF_000001405.40 Homo sapiens
TCAGGATTCCAGCAGAAAGTACAAAGAGATGACATACACAAATTAGGTCATCTGAGGAGAATTTAATAAAGGGGTTATTTTAAAGACACAAGCAGAGCGTAAGAAAACCGTAAGAGAAAGTGCAGTAACAGAGGGCTAACAGCCCCAAGACCACAGGCACAAGGAAGGAAGTGGCCACCAGGATAAAGAAGAGTCCTGTAGGCTGGGTGCAGCAGCTCATGCCTGCAATCCCAGCACTTTGGGAGGCCAAGGTGGGAGGATCACTTGAGTGGAGGAGTTCAAGACCAGTCTAGGCAACATACTGAGACCTCATCTCTATGGAAAAAAAAAAAAAAAAGGTTTGAAAAACTAGCCAGGCATGGTGGTGCATGCCTGTGGTCCCAGCTACTTGGGAGGCTGAGGCAGGAGGATAGCTTAGGTCCAGGAGATGGAGGCTGCAAGAAGCCATGATGGTGCCACTGCACTCCAGCCTCCAGAGTAAAGCAAGACTCTGTCTCAATTAAAAAAGGAGTCTTGTAGAGAGTACTACCTTGATAGAATCTTTAGGAGGGAAATAGCCAGCTAGAAATGACCTGCAGGGAGAGGTGCAGGGAGGAGAGAGAAATATCCAGACTCACTCTCCCCACTCCCTCCTGTCTCCTGCTCTGTCTCCCACTTTGCTGAACACACCTGGAAGCCAGAAGGCAAGGTGCTCAGTCATGTCCATACAGACCAGCCCCTTGGGTACCAAGTACAGACAGAAGCGTGAATGCGGAGAGGCAAGTAGAACATAAAGAGTGTAACTTCCAGCTCCTTCCATCCTCTCACTGCCCCCCAGTTTTTATTTGGTAGATAAAGAGTGGGCTTAGGAATTTGAATCTTTTTTATTTTCTTTTTTTTTTTTTTTTTTTTTTGGTGGAGACAAGGTTTCCCTATGTTGCCCAGGCTGGTCTCAAACTCCTGGCCTCAAGCAATCCTCCTTTCTCAGTCTCCCAAAGTGCTGGGATTACACATGTGAGCCACAGCACACTGCCAGGAATTTAAATCTTTAAATGCTATATAGGTCAAGTCCAAAAGAGCTTAAGGAAAAAAAAGAGAGTAAAACAAAAGTGATATGGGTGATCCTGATGACAAGTGCATGTCCTTGGATCACTTCACAAAACTTCTGCTCTGAGTTGATCATCAGCACTTAAAATGTGTAATATGTCTACCTGGACACCAAGTCTCATGAGTGTCTAATCTTCATTATACTTACTGTAGATTCCATTCGCCTAAGAATAGAAAAAGGCATTGAGTATTTATAAATCATGCTTTCTGGGTGTCTGATGGAATCAATACTGCAGGCAAAGGCACTTCATTGACTGTTGGACACTTAGAAAATTAAAGTATTGTATCTGGAACACATGGAAAGATAAAAGCAGGCTCTTTCCTCTCTAGGAGTTAAGGAGCTTACAACTGAGGTCTTTATCCTTGAAGCCTCCAGTAAGGAAGCCCCGAAGGTCACAAGAAACATGAGAAATCATCAATGTCAAGCTACTCAAGTGTTCAACAGATAAGATGACAGAATCATCGGATAGTCACAGGCAGGGACATTTTCCCATAAATACAGCAGCTGTTAGGAAAAGAGATCAGTTTTGCTCAAAGCCACACTTTATCTTTTAGAGGCGGGTCTCAAAATAACTACAAGAGTGACAGACATTCGTGTTCAGGTTCTAGGGAGAAAAGTTCAAGACTTTTCCCCAGAGGTAAGTCACATGGCCCTCACGTAAAACTATCCACATTAATTTCACTCACAGTCAAGTGAGAAAAATTCAGTAAACTTTAACATCAGCACAGACGCAATCCCATTTTTACAAATGTGTGTTTTCATAGTATAAAAAGCTGTGTGTTTTTAAATACTTACAAGGAAAAAATAGAACTGAGTTGGTAAGTTCTGTAAAGAACGAACTTTGAATGTATTTTAATCCCAAATTCACATAATAACAGTATGATGCATACCTCATATGATAAGACTGTTACTAACTCATCTAGAGTGCTTCCATTTTCATGTAAATACCCAAGTAGGTACATAATATTTTTGTAGAGAAAGAGTACATAAATATGTTCATCGCTAAAATGACATAAAATCTAAGCACAATTTTAGTAAAAATGACACCTCTAAAATGTCTCTAAGTTTCCCCACAGTAAGACATCAACCCCACTTTTTTTTTTAAAGAAGAGTGGTTATTATAAATTCCACCCTCTAATTCCTTTTTGTTTTCTTGATCAGTATTTGATGCAATTCTACTACCAGAGTGTCTGTTTTTATAGACAAGGACTATGAGAGACACAGCAACTTCTTGAGTCAAGGAACTTTGAATATGGAACCACAATTAACCAAACAGAAATACATGGGTCAATTTCTGCGAGGTCAGTACAACGTAATTTCTGCCATGTTTCTATAAAATCTTCTCTAGAATTCAGTAGGGAAATGAGAGTAACTGTCTCCCTTTAGATGCTCCACTCTGCCTCATTCTAGACCTGCTGCTAACATCTGGGGAATAGAAGGTTAAGTTGACAAATGTAGACAGATATAATATTTGTTTAAATATTTTCACATTAAAAATCCAGCCAAAAATCTACAAAATTATTTATTGTTCCCCCGCCTTCACAAATATATCTTAATAAAAAACAGTATATTAAGCTATGAATTTTATGTGACTAAAAGTCAGTAAAACAGAAGGTGGCTGAATTTAATTATTTTTGTATATGTCCAAATATTTTGTCAATGCACCAGTGATGATTAGATGAGTAATAACATAATGATATATACTTCATAAATTAGAGTTTCATAGTTTCTTTGCCTTTCCACAAAAATCAATAATTATGCTATTATAATGAAGATATTTACATAATTTTTGCTCAATTATCAATCATCACCTAAAGAATTTTTAAATTTTTTAATTGTGTCCAAAACTTGAGCATATTTTATCTAAAAGGAAAATTAATATAAATGCAAAAAATCAAATATTTGTATGTTCTTTTAAAAAAGGTGTTTTCTTCTATAATAGAGATTAATTAAAATCAAGGGAAAATACACATTATAATTAATGTATATGACAAGTTTAATTAACTAAATTTAAATAGTTTTTGAAAATTTAATTCAATCTCATTAAGTATACTCATAAAAATGAAACTACTTGTAATTCTAGACTTCAGTGTTCACTTAATTGCCATTGTAAAGAATTTATATCTGCTTTATACTCCTAAGCCTACATATATGTAGAAACTTTTTTTTTTTTTTTTTTTTTTTTTGAGTCAGGATCTCACTCTGTTACCCAGGATGGATTGTAGTGGTGTGATCATAGATCACCGCAGCCTCAACCTCCTAGGCTCAAGGGATCCTCCCACCCCGACCTCAGCCTGAGTAGCTGGGACTACAGGCATGTGCCACCATACCCAGTTAATTTTTTATTTTTTAGCGACAGTCTTGCTGTGTTGCCCAAGCTAGAGTGCAGTGGCATTATCTCAACTCACTGCAACCTCCACCTCCTGGGTTCAAGCCACTCTCCTGCCTCAGCCTCACAAGTAGCTGGAATTACAGGCACACACCATCAAACCAGGCTAATTTTATTTATTTCTGGAGAGCCGAGGTCTCACTTTGTTGTCCAGGCTGGTATTGAACTCCTGGGCTCAAGCGATCAGCCCACCTCGGCCTCCCAAAGTGCTGGGATTACAGGTGTGAGCCACCGCTCCCGTACTATATGTAGAAACTGAAGAATGACATGACTCATTTAATGCAACAAAATGCTCCTCTGCAAATACCCGCCTGTCTTGTAAATTCCATACTGCTTAGTACCTCTAGAACCATGAGTGGGGAAAGGAAGGAAAACTAAAAACTAACCTCTTGGTTCTACTGAGGTTCAGTTTTTAGCTTTGAGTTCTCAGTTTTTAGGTTCTACTTGCTATACAAGAATCTATTGGGTGTATACCATTTGAGAGGAAAACTTTGGTAACTTAATTCTTTTGTCTTCCCATTAATTAGGTACATCCACTATTCAAAGCCCAGTCCCATTGGCCGGGCATGGTGGCTCACACCTGCAATCCCAGCACTTTGGGAGGCCAACATGGGTGGATCATGAGGTCAGGAGTTCAAGACCAGCCTGGCCTACATGGTGAAACCCTGTCTCTACTAAAAATACAAAAATTGGCTGGGCATGGTGGCACGCGCCTGTAATCCCAGCTACTCAGGAGGCTAAGGCAGGAAAATAGCTTGAACCCAGGAGGTGGAAGTTGCAGTGAGCTGAGATCGCACCATTGCACTCCAGCCTGGACAACAGAGCAAGCCCCCGTCTCAAAAAAAAAAAAAAAAAAAAAAAAACCCACAAAGCCCAGTCCAAGTCCCCAGATCCCTCTCCAACCCAGCCCTCCCAAGCAGCAACCAGCTGCAGAGTCAGCAAACTCACAAATCTCATAGGCAATCCTTGAGGGCAATCAAGTGCAGCCCCCTTTTGTTTCAAGGTGAAGCAGCAAGAAATGTGGCCGGGCGTGGTGGCTCATGCCTGTAATCCCAGCACTTTGGGAGGCCAAGGAGGGTGGATTGCCTGAGCTCAGGAGTTCAAGGCCAGCCTGGCCACCATGGTGAAACCCTGTCTCTGCTAAAAATACAAAATTAGCTGGGCGTGGTGGTGCATGCCTGTAATCCCAGCTACTTGGGAGGCTGAGGCAGGAGAATTGCTTGAACCTGGGAGGCAGAGGTTGCAGTAAGCCACGATCACACCACTGCATTCCAGCCTGGGTGACAGATCAAGACTCTGTCTTAAAAAAAAAAAAAAAAAAGTGGGTAAAGTTTGCTGGGGCCTGAAGGGCGTGTGTTAGCCATCACTGCAGTTGTTTATGATTGTGGATGTAGCCTTGGGGATTCTGAGTACCTACATTTATTTGTGGCATAGATTTGTGATAATTTTCTCTCAAGTTCACGGTCGGGCTTAGATCAGAGAACCTCGCCCCACTACCCCACCAACAAAAATGTTTAAACTGATGTAACTAAATCCACAACTTATCTTTGTCTGAACAGGTAAGAGACTGGAGAAACGTGGGAAATGGGTGAAAGGAGAGACAAGAGGAAGTGATGGAGCCTGCGGCCAACTGGAAAGGCTGGGTCCACCTGAAGGCATTCAAACCTAGAAACAGGCAGATTGTAATGGCTCACACCTGTAATCCCGTGACTTTGGGACGCCAAGGCAGGAGGATCACTTGAGCCCCAGAGTTCAACACCAGCCTGGAAAACAAAGTGAGACCCACCACCCCACCCCATCTATATTTAAAAAAAAATAGAAATAAATAAAAATCTTAAAACGGGGATTTTAGGCCGGGTGTGGTGATTCACGCCTGTAATCCCAGCACTTTCGGAGGCCGAGGCAGGTGGATCATCTGAGGTAGGGAGTTCGAGACCAGCCTGGCTAACATGACAAAACCCCTTTTCTACTAAAAATAAAAAACTAGCCGGGTGTGGTGGCAGGCACATGTAATCCCAGCTACTCAGAAGCTGAGGTGGGACAATCGCTTGAACCCATTAGGCAGAGGTTGCAGTGAGCCGAGATCAAGCCATTGCACTCCAGCCTGGGCAACAAGAGCAAAACTCCATCTCAAAAAAAAAAAAAATTGGGGGGGTAGATTTTTAGTTAGTTGTCCTCTAGTATTGAGGCTAAATAGAAAGGAATTTTAAATGTTCTCACCATAAAGAAGTGATAAATATTTGAGGTGATGGATATGCTAATTAGCCTGATTTGCTCATTCCACAATGCATACATGTATGGAAACATCCCATTGTACCTGGTAAGTATATATAATCCTCGTTTGTCAATTAAAACCAAAACAAAAAAAGACTTAGGTTCAATTTCACCCAGAGTAGACGAAAATGGTGATTCCTTTACATCTCAGGCCTTAGTTGTATCATTACATTTTTTTCTTAAGCATGGGAGTATCTTGAGTCATATCTTTCACCCATAGTGAGCATCTTTTTTTTTTTTACATGGTCTGGCTCTGTTGCCCAGGCTACAGTAGAGTGCAGCGTTGTGATCTCAGCTCACTGCAGCCTCAACCTCCCAGGCTCAAGCGGTCCTCCCACCTCAACCTCCTCAGTAACTGGGACTATGTGACTACAGGCATGCACCATCACACTCAGCTAATATTTGTATTTTTAGTAGAGACTGGGTTTCGCCATGTTGCCCAGGCTGGTCTCAAACTCATGACCTCAAGAGATTGCCTGCCTTGGCCTCCCAAAGTGCTGGAATTACAGGCGTGAGCCACCGCGCCTGACCCTCTAGTGAGCATTCTAAAGAAAAAGCTTTTTTCTAGTTTTTAAACATGAAAGCATAAAGTGAATAAGCAAACTTTAAAAAATAAAATATTTAGTCCATGCTGTGCAGCACGCAGCTAAGCACTCTGCTCCTGTGTTCCTCAGAAAGACCCTAGGAAGGTAGCCAGGCGGCATCATCATCACCACCTCCGTTACACACGTGAGCACAACTCAGAGCAGCGCACCCACCTGCCCCAAGTCTCACAGCCAGTTAGAGCTTGGCCTAGACTTCAGATCAGGTCTGCTAGTTTCAGAACTCCTTGTCCTTATCGTTCCCTTTTTTGCTTGTTGGATATACCTGTGCCTGCTGTTTTGGTTCAAACAGCTTTCCTCCATTAACTTCATTTGTAAGTCAACTTTTTTCCTTTTTCTTTTTTTTTTCTTTTTTTGAGATAGGGTCTGGCTCTGTTACCCAGGCTGGAGTGCAGTGCAATCATAGCTCAATGTAGCTTTGAACTCCCAGGCTCAAATGATCCTCCTTCCTCAGCCTAGAACTACAGGCATGCACCACCACCACCACGCCCAGCTATTTTTTTCAATTTTGTTCAGAGATGGGGTCTCACTGTGTTGCCCAGGCTGGTCTCAACCATTCCTGGGCTCAAGCAATCCCCCCAGTACAGCCTCCAAAAGTGCTGGGATTACAGGTGTGACCCACTGCACCTGGCCCTATCTCAACTCTTAACCCATTCCAATTATTCTTTTAAAATTTTTAATTCAGATACAATGTTTAAGCCTATTAAAAATAAATACAGCCTTGTCTGATATATACTTCTTTAAAAAAATGAAATTTTTCTATAACATTTTAAGCATATTTCGATAGAAATTAATGAGGAATTTAAACAGATATAAACATTTTTTCAGAGAACTTATAACATTAGTTCATATCTCATAAGATCAAAGAAAGACTTGGAAGATTAATGGAATTAACTTTAAAAAGTGATGAAATTTTCATAAGGTGGAGAGTCTCATAAGATATAAAACAAACTTAAATACAATTTAATGAATTTTGAAAGTGAAATTTTAGAGCCATCTGAAACTACCCTTAGTCCATCAAGTTCTTTGGCAAAGAAATAGATGTGTTAAAGAAACCTTACTAAACTTACCTATTAAAAGGCTTCTTTTAATAAGGAACCTTATTTTAAAAGAGTGCAAAGGTTCAAAACAACTGTAAGCTAATGTTTATGTCCATTTTTTGGACTTGTACATGACTTTCTGCACCTTGGCTCCACCAGTGGTTTTAACCTAGCCCAAATGGTTGACCTTTATTTGAAAAGTACACAATCATCTACAGAAGTTCTTGATTCAGAGATGACTCATTGATGACTGCTGTTCATGAGCACTGACCGGTACAGATGGACACCTGCTTTATGATTAACCTTTGTCATGGTCTCAGTTGACGTGGAGACTGAGAAAATGATTAATGAGTCAAGCATTTGTTTTCTCCTTTGCTTCTTATAGTGTCTGCACCAAGGGAGAATGCTATCACAACCAGAATGTAGACAAATGATGAACGGATGTTGCTGAGTTATGACAACAACATTTTGCAGGAACTACTGAAGCTATGGGAAAATGAATATGAAACAGAAATTAAGTTTTAGAAAGAAAAAGAATCAAAAATAAAAGAAAGAGGAGGCCAGGCATGGTGGCTCACACCTGTAATCCCAGCACTTTGGGAGGCTGAGGTGGGCAGATCACCTGATGTCAGCAGTTTGAGACCAGCCTGACCAACAGGGTGAAACACCGTCTCTACCAAAAATACAAAATTAGCCCAGAGTGGTGGCACATGCCTGTAATCCCAGCTACTCAGGAGGCTGAAACCGGAGAATCCCTTGAACCTGGGAAGGCAGAGGTTGCAGTGAGTCAAGACCAGGCCACTGCACTCCAGCCTGGACAACAAGAATGAAACTCCATCTCAAAAAAAGAAGGAAAATGCAGAAAAAAAAAAAAAAAAAAAAAAAGCTTGACCTTTAAGAGAAAGAATAAAACTTCACCGACAAACAAATTCAGAAAAGTTGCTAGACAACAAAGCAATAGTAATAAAATCTACAATCCAAATAGTTTTGAGGCCATCAGCTAAAATTAAGGAATTTTCAATCATATTTTGAGCAGCTGTGATTTGCTTAACCAAATCTCATGAATCATCACCATCATCTTCTGGAAGCATCTACTAAATGTCCATTAAGCGTGACTGTTTAGGTCCTGTTTATTTGGTGTATATGTGCATTTGCAGTGATTACATGTTCTTAGTTTTTACCTAGCACATTACTTTGTTACACATTTAGTGCATAATACTTTGCTAGTTTTGTTAGGCTGACAAAGATCATCAGTTATAGGAATATAGAAGAGGAAAACTTTATCAGAAATGGTCTAAAACATGTTGCTTAGTAGCTGTTCAAATGAATACATCTTGATAACATAAATTAAGACATAGATTATCAAGATGGCATCAAGGAAAGGGGCCGCTGAGTTTAACTTGCTCCCTGTAAAGGGAATGGTCAGCTTTACTCTCATCTCTTGAGGGGGGCTGCAGGGAAAACTAGCGGATGTAACAGCATCTAGTGATAGGTGGAAGAGAAACAGCTCAGTGTTCTGGGGGAGAAGAAGTCTCCAAGCAGGGTCTCAGCCAACTTAATAACACCCTGTGGGCTGGGTGCAATGGCTCACAACTTTAATCCCAGCACTTTGGGAGGACAAGGCAGGAGGATCACTTGAGTCCAAATGTTCAAGACTATCCTGGGCAAAATAGTGAGACTCCTGTCTCCACAAAATATTTAAAAATTAGCCAGGCTTGGTGGGATGCACCTGTAGTCCGAGCTACGAGCAGGCTGAGGTGGGAGGATCACTTGAGTCCAGGAGGTTGAGACTTCAGTGAGCCGTGTTCACACCACTGTACTTCCCGCCTGGGAGACAGATCAAGACCCTGTTTCTTAATAAATAACACCTTGTATGTGTGCATCTGAGATAAATAGAAACCACGGGCTGAGGTACAGGAAGGTATAAAGGAAGGTGAAGTGTGGAGAGCCTTGAATAGAAATGGTATTAAGGTGACTGTGGAAACCTGCATGGTAGGGAGAGGCTTTGGTAGTGGATTAGAATATTCCAGAATGGGATGCTCTTCTTCTCTGCTGACATTCTTATTTGCTAGGCATGGAAATCCCAGTGGAAAAAGAGAGTTTGAACATAGGAATTAGCATAGCTGGAACTCTGTAAGACTAGTCCAATATACATTGAAGTTAGAAAATCTGAACAGCCAAGAATAGCAAGCAAAGCCAATGCAAGCCTGTAACCATAAAGTGCATTCAATTTAAGCCAGATGACTTTAATATTAGTCTTGCCTCCCTCCTCTAATCGACTGTATGACCACTCAGGGCAAGTCGCCTTGATGACTTTTACTTGAGGGCCTACAGACACAGCATAGAACAGCATGCACCAAATTGTAGCGATATTAACAAATTGGTCATGCCTATGAATCCACATAACTCTCATTAATGGCTTAGGTAGCCATCCTAAAATCACTGTTTGAAGACTTCAGAAGGAGCTCACAGAGGACTGCGGTGCTCAACCCCACAATGGAGTTCCCAGTATCAGAACAAGGTTGATTGAACAATGTCTGCAAAGACAGAGATGAGGTTCCTAAGGTCCAGAAAGCTGCCCATGAGTGGTTAGTTGGTCTATGGCAAAATCTCAGCAAGAACTGGGAAGAAAGGGAATGTGGTCTCCAGCCGAGCTGATGTCTAGTAATTTGTCTCTAAGAAGCAACAATTACTTTTCAGGTGTCCTAGCAATGAAGTCCTAAATGCATGCTGTATTCTAAAAATTTCCCAACTATTTGTTATCTGCAAATCCATTACTTGCAAATAGGTCCTCGCTTTTGGCCCTAAAACACTGAGATTCACCTCCTTCCTGTTAAATATCTAAAAAAGAACAGTGGAGCGGAATATGACTAACCCATCAGTCAGTTCACTTCTGTGACTATTTCCCCGGACCCTTTGTCCCCTCTCAGTCAGCATTAACTATACAGTCCAATTAAACCTCGCACCGGCCGTCCACAGGGATTCTTTTCATAGAAAAATGCAATTCTCTCCAAGATTCTCAGCATTACCTAATGGCCTACATAGAATCAGTGTGATGGTCTCTAGCTGGTTCCCAGGGGACAAATTGATCACCATGGCAATCATCACAGACTCTCGCCCTGTGGAGGGGCAAGGTAAAATTCACAGAGCCGTGGAGGAAGCAGATCTGATTATCTCAGAAGGGTTACCTCCTTCGAGTAGGCTGCAGCTGTCCATTAGGCTGCTCCTACACACACGCGCGGAGCCCGTGCCAAAACGTGGAACGAGGCATATGGTTAGAAACCGAGTGGGGAAGGCATGCCAACTGCTGATGCGCCCAGCTGGCTGCCTCTGCTTCATTGGTCCGAGTGAGCACTCTGCAAATAAGACCTGCTCAGACCCTGGAAAGGGTCCTGACAGATATCCGAAGAATTGCAGCTGGGTTGAAATCAGTGAACCACTAGCAACACAGTCTGAGAAAAATCGAGGAAGCATGATCCTACGAAAATGATGAAAAGAAAGCAATAGAAACCTAAACAACACTACTATCATTATGAATTGTTAGATTTGACAGTAATTCTGCCGAGACTATATTAAGGGACAAACTCTTTATTTTTTTCTGCTATATTGACCCTAAGTAAATTGGTGACTTTTGTTTGAGACATCCTCTGAAAAGATGAAAATATAAAGGGGGCTGGGCACAGTGGCTCACACCTGTAATCCCAGCACTTTGGGAGGCCTAGGTGGGTGATCACTTGAGGTCAGGAGTTCAAGACCAGCCTGGTCAACATGGTGAAACCCCGTCTCTACTAAAAATACAAATATTAGCTGGGCATGGTGGCACATGCTGGTGTTCCCAGCTACTGGAGAGGCTGAGGCAGGAGAATTGCTTGAACCTGGGAGGAGGAGGTTACAGTAAGCCAAGATCGTGCCACTGCACTCCAGCCTGGCGACAGAGCTAGACTCTGTCTCCAAAAAAGAAAAGGAAATATAAACGGGGAAATCTGTAAGAGAAAATATACCTCTATCGTGTAATTTTTATAATACAATGTATATGTCCAGTGTGCCAAAAAGAGACCAAAATTATAGTTTCTTACTATGGTGTGAAATTGGCATGTTCTCACTGAATAAGGCTGGAATAAAATTGTTCCAGGCAGAAGTTAAGGTTTGCATTCCCATTATTACCTATTGTATGGCCCAGACATACTATTCTTTATTACTTTGTGTATTCAAAGACCTTCAAAGTTTGCATTCACAACGATTACTTTCCTTTTGTGTCAAGAATAATCTAGGAACAGTTCTCTACAGATGATCAAGGCAGAGAAATATTTTCTAAGCCCTCAAGGAAACTTCCCACCTTTGTAAGGTCAGAGGTTGACATATAGCCCTATATGTCAGACTTGGGCTAACAATCACATCATTTCTCAGAGGGGCTCAACGCAGTCAGCTCTGAGTAGAGAGATGGTCCCTTACAGGACTTTAATGAGCTTGCTGCAAATCCGCACTGAACCCAAGCAGGGTCTGATTTCACAATTAGAAATTGGGATTGTCTGTTCTCTTAGTCTTCTGTCACATTTTTGTACCGTGTGTTAATAGGTCCTTCAAATTCTTTTTAACTAACCCCTTAAATAGACTGCAATTAAAAAATGTCAGTGATGCAATACCATATAGGATAAATCATATTTCATATCTGAAAATGAGACTCATTTTTTTTCTTTTGCAGAAAACCACTATCTTGGGTTAAATTAACTTTTGTTAAAATACATGTGGATTTGACATGGTGTTTTGTAGAAATTTTGTCTTAAAACAAATAGCAGCCTCTTCCCTGCTGTGATAGTATAGATTTGACCTATTTACTTAATCTGAGTCTCAGTCCCCTCAGTCATTGGCGAAATTGAGATGTGTGTGTCTATCCCAAAGTTTCACATTGAGGATTATATGCTTAGCACACAATAATCTCTCAAAAAATATGAGTTACTTATCTCTCCCTTCCCTCCCATTCACAAGCAATCTTTTTATCAAGACTTTGTGTTAAATATTCTTAAATAACAAAATTCTATTTTAGTTCTAATTGCTATTTCATCAAAACAAAATGCAAAAGAAAAGAATAGTGTTTAAACCCTTGGACCTGGCCAAGCAAGGTAGCTCACGCCTGTAATGTCAGCACTTTGGAAGGCCAACGCGGGAGGATTCCTTGAGCCCAGGCATTCGAAACCAACCTAGGCAGCATAGTGAGACCTCCTCTCTACAAGAAAAAGCAAAAAAGTTAGCTGGCCAGGCGCCGTGGCTCACGACTATAATCCCAGCACTTTGGGAGGCTGAAGTGGGTGGATCACTTGAGGTCAGGAGTTTCAGACCAGCCTGGGCAACATGGTGAAACCCCATCTCTACTAAAAACACAAAAATTAGCCGGGCATGGTGGTGAGCACCAGTAGTCCCAGCCACTTGGGAGGCTGAGGCAGGAGAATCACTTGAACCCGGAAGGTGGAGGTTGCAGTGAGCCAAGATTGTGCCACTGCACTCTAGCCTGGGCGACAGAGCAAGACCGTCTCAAAAAAAAAAAAATTAGCCAGGCCTGATAGCACAAGTCTGTAGTGCCAGCTACTCAGGAGGCTGAAGTGGGAGAATCGCCTGAGCCCAAGAGGTTGAAGCTGCAGTGAGCCAAGATTGCACCACTGTACTCCAGCCTGGCATAGAGCAAGAAAAGAAAAGAAATAAACTCTTGGACCCGTAATTTAGTGAATCCTTTGGAAATTGATTAGAGAGACTGAGACAGAACACACTCATCTACATACCTCCTTGCAGATATATTTCTCATTCAAATCAACTCAATGTCCTTTTTCACTTTAAATCTTCTCGTTCGTTCTTGTCCTCAAATCAGGATGTGCAGGGAAGTCGTAAAACAAGATGACACCAAAACCAAGAGCAGCAGGCAACCACGGAAGCATTTCACTGGAAGAGGCCCATTGTTACTTGTCAGGGCAGCAGGGGTGTAACCTTTGGAGTGAGGCACACCTGGCTTCAATTCCCACTTCTACCATATTCAACTGCATGATACCCGGCAAGGTGTTCAAGCTTGCTGAGTCAGTTTTGCTAATTGCACCACAGGTTTTACGCCGCTGCCTCTTAGCATTGGTCAAAGACCCAGGGGGCTTTGCAGTGATGCTAATGAAACTTAATCACCAGGACTGCGCACTTACGTGGGTCTCTTCCAAGGCCCTGTACCTCATCCTGTATTTGTCCTTTTCTTTTCTTTTCTTTTCCTTTTTTTTTTTTTTTTTTTTTTTTTGCAGGGGGAAGGTATTTGTTTTTGAGACAGGGACTCTATTGCCCAGACTGGAGTGCAATGGCCATGGCTTACTGCAGCCTCGATCCTTCTACATCAGCCTCCCAAGTAGCTGGGATCACAGGCATGTGCCACCATGCTCAGCTAATTTTTGTATTTTTTTTTTGTAAAGACGGGGTTTCACCGTGTTGCCTAGGCTGGTGTCAAACTCCTGGGCTCAAGCAATTCACCCATGCTGGGTTCCCAAAGTGCTGGGATTACAGGTATGAGTCGCCACACCTGGGCTTTGTCCGTGTTCTTAAACCAAGCTTCCCAAATCGTACAAACTTCAGGCCCTACAAATCCCAGATGTGCCCTTGTATGATGATTAAAAAGGATAATAAATGTAAGGTAACTGGCCAGTAGTCATTGTCCAATAAGTGATATTATTGTCACCAGATTCACAGGCTATAAGTTTGGATCTGTCCCTGGGTAAATGTAGAGAAGGCAACCACATAATGGCATTGCTTACAGGTTATACAAAATTTAACCCATCCTCTAATATGCCACACCTGAGCCTGCTGAGATGCCTGGCCCAATCTCTACCAACACTTGTAGTTTATGCCGTTAATTATACACAGCCGGGCGCCGTAGCTCACGCCTGTAATCCCAGCACTTTGGGAGGTGGAAGTGGGTGGACACGAGGTCAGGAGTTGAGACCAGTCTGGCCATCATAGCAAAACCCCGTCTCTACTAAAAATACAAAAAAAAAAAAAAAAAAATTAGGCAGGCGTGGTGGCAGGTGCCTGTAATCCCAGCTACTCGGAAAGCTGAGGCAGGAGAATCACTTGAACCTGGGAGGTGTAGGTTGCAATGAGCCGAGATCATGCCATTGCACTCCAGCCTGGGTGACAAGAGCAAGACTCCATCTCAAAAAAATTAAAAAAAAAAAAAAAAAGAAGCCTTAATTATACACATGTAACCTCATTTAGGTGTATTAGGAAGGTAGGCTGCAAATGAACAGATCACAGGATGGGCCAACTTAAATGTGGAGAAAGAATTGTAAAAGCGAAGAGCAGAAACATGGGCTGAGCACAGTGGCTCATGCCTGTGATCCCAATATTTTGGGAGACCAAGGTGGGAGAAGCACTTGAGCCCAGGAGTTCAAGACTAGCCTGGGCAACATAGTGAGATTCCCGTCTCTACAAAAACTTTTAAAATTAGCCTGCATGGTGGTGAGCATCTGTGGTCCCAGCTACAAGGGAGGCTGAGAAGGGAGGATCCCTTGAGCCCAGGTGTTCAAGGCTGCAGTGAGCTAGGATCATGCCACTGTACTCCAACCTGGGTGAGAGAGAGAGATCCCGTCTCAAAAAAACAAACAAACAAAAAAAAAACCACACACACACAATAGCATTTGCAAGGGTTGGGGGAGTCTCATCATGGAGAGCAGGGTGGACATTGGGGGGCTAGAGAGCAAGAGCCAAGTGTGAAGCACTGCATGGCTCAGTGTGGCTGTTTGTCCACATGCGGTCTATCATCCAACTGCATCAGAACTGAACAGGGCCCAATCCTCCCATAGACTTGAAGTTTGAAAAACTTACATTTGTCTTATTTGAGTTCCTTTTTTTTTTTTTTTTGAGACAGAGTCTTGCTCTTGTTGCCCAGGATAGAGTGCAGTGGCGCCATCTCGGCTCACTGCAAGCTCCGCCTCCTGGGTTCACGCCATTCTCCTGCCTCAGCCTCCCGAGTAGCTGGGACTACAGGCGCCCGCCACCAAACCCGGCTAATTTTTTGTATTTTCAGTAGAGACGGGGTTTCACCGTGTTAGCCTGGATGGTCTTGATCTCCTGACCTCGTGATCTGCCCGCCTCGGCCTCCCAAAGTCCTGGGATTACAGGCGTGAGCCACAGCGCCCGGCCTAATTTGAGTTCCTGTCTTAGAAACTGACCAGGCCTCCCTGATGGTATCAGGAAACTGAGGCTTTCCAGATCACAGCACCCAGATAATGAGATGCAACTGCTGGCTGTTGGCCAATTTGTCTTCCCTACCCCTCCTGTTTTCCTTCCCCACTATATGAACCCCTGCCTGTAGTCAGAGGGGTTGCAGAGTAGAGAGGGTCTTAAGGTTTCACCTCCCGTGTCCCTCCAACTAATGTCACCCATAGAAAAGCCTTTCTTCCTGGTAAGTCTCCTTGTCTCAGCAATTGGCTTTCTGTGTGGTGAGCAACCAAACCTAGAATGAACCGCTGGCATTCAGCAACAGAACCACCTAAGGAACCTCGATGAAAACACAAACCGCCCGGGCCTACCATGGCCCACGGACTCAGGACTTCGGAGGTGGAGTTCAGGATTCTGCTTTTTAAACAAGCTCTCCACCAACTGATTTTGAATTCCATTTAGTTTAAGAGCCCCTGCTTATGGATTGAACCTGAAATAAAGAACTGATCAAATAGTTTTCAGGATTCCATATATATTCCAGTTGGCTCAGAAAAAGTCCATTTTTTTATTTTTTTTTGAGAGAGAGTCTCACTTTGTCACCCAGGCTAGAGTGCAGTGGCATGATCTTGGCTCACTGCAGCCTCAACCTGCTGGGACTGCAGGGGCATGCCACCATGCCCAGCTAATTTTTTTGTGTTTTTTGTAGAGATGTGGTTTCATCATGTTGAGCAGGCTGGTCTCGCACTCCTGAGCTCAGGTGATCAGGCCTCCCAAAGTGCTAGGATCACAGAAGTGACCCACCACACGTGGCCAGAAGTCCAATTTTCTACTGAGAGTTCGACCCTTCACCTCTCTTCCATAGTAAGGGGCAAGTGTCTGGCTTGTATATTTTCTTCCCTTCCTTCCTTGCTTACTTCCTTCCTTTCCTCTTTAAGCTCTGTTGGACTTCATCCTTTCTTTTACTTTTTTTTCTTTTTTTTCTTTTTTTTTTTTTTTTTTGTGAGACAGAGTCTTGCTGTGTCACCAGGCTGGAGTGCAGTGGTGTGATCTGGGCTCACTGCAACCTCCGTCTCCTGGGGTCAAACAATTCTCCTGCCTGAGTCTCCCGAGTAGCTAGGATTACACGTGTGCGCCAGCATGCCCAGCTAATTTTTGTATTTTTAGAAGAGACGGGGCTTCACCACCTTGGCCAGGCTGGTCTTGAACTCCTGGCCTCAAGTGATCTGCCCACCTTGGCCTCCCAAAGTGCTGGGATTACAGGCGTGAGCCACCATACCCGACCACATTTTCTTTCTTGATAGATCCACTACAATTGTAGCTGAAGAACATGCTATTCAGACATATGTCACAATTTCAGCAAGATCAGATGTATGAGATGGTCTAATGTTAGCTGAATGTGTATCTATTGCAGAGAGATACTACCCTCCTGAAGAAAGTAGATAACAGTCATAAACCCTGAAACAAGGTTTCTAGTGGGATGGCAAGATGCTGCTTTCTGAGGATGTCCTGTTCAACCTGTTATCAGTAGCTTGGATGGACACCTAGTATACGTGCTCACCTTACCTAGGAAATTGCAGACCTAGGACTAGGCAGATGATACAAATCTAGAAGGAATAAATACCCAGAAATGGATAATCATCAGGTTGCAAAGTAACCCTCACAAGCTGGCCTAAGAACCAAAAACAAGTAAGATCATGGAACAGACAGAAGCATGAATGAAAAGGAAAAACATCAGGATGGTTTCTGTTTGTTTATTCGTTCGTTTTTGAGACGGCGTCTCACTCGGTCACCCAGGCTGGAGTGTAGTGGCGTGATCTTGGCTCACTGCAACCTCCGCCTCCTGGGTTAAAGCGATCCTCCCACTTCAGCCTCCTAAGTATCTGGGATTACAGGCATGCACCACCACACCCAGCTAATTTTTTTTTTGTATTTTTAGTGGAGACGGAGTTTCACCATGTTGGCCAGGCTGATCTCGAACTCCTGACCTCAGGTGATCTGGCCGCCTCAGCCTCCCAAAATGCTGGGATTATAGGCGTGAGCCACCGTGCCTGGCCGAGGATGCTTTTTAAAATGTCATTGCAAAAAAGTTTTGTTTGAGCCTTACTGGTACTGCAATTCATATATGTGTGATTTTTCAGTTCTTGAAAGGAAATAATCCTACTCTATTCTATGCTGGTCAAACCACTGTTTTATTTTCAACAGATTCACCTCTGAGCATGACATTTTAAAAGGAGACATCCTCAGGTTACCACGGAGCCAAAAGTGGATTTCAAGCATGATGAAGAATCCATAAACTACTATGTTTAGCTTGGGGGTGGGGGATGGGAACGTGTCTTTCTTCAAATAATAGATTGTCCATAGACTTACTGGGTTGATGGTAGGTAAGATCCCGGGTATGTGAACGTTGTAAGAAGGCATATCACATTAAATGTAAAACAAGGCAACGAAACCGTTCAAAATCTCCAGAAATGCAATAGAGAATTCAGAATAGAAGTGAGCTCCCTGTTGTGGAGGTAATCAAGCACAGACTGAATGATGACTCAGCCAGAATTGTTACCCAATGGATTCTTTCTACTGAGAGTGTTTAGGGAAGGGAGTCGATAAATCTGAGATGCTTTCAGCACCATAGAAAGGTTTCTATTATTTGTTTTTATCCTAGCTAGCTCAGGTTTCTGGAAGCAAGTTGAAACAGGAAAGTGAGTAGAAAGCAATGAGGAGTAGAGGCCAGGCGCGCTGGCTCACACCTATAATCCCAACACTTTGGGAGGCTTGGCCAGGAGATCACCTGAGGTTGGGAGTTTGAGACCAGCCTGGCCAACAGGGTGAAACCTCATCTCTACTAAAATTACGAAAATTAGCTGGGTGTCGTCGCGCCCGCACGCCTGTAATCCCAGCTACTCAGGAGGCTGTGGCAGGAGAATCGCTTGAACCGGGGAGGCAGAGATTGCAGTGAGCCGAGATTGCACCACTGCACTCCAGCCTGGGCAACAGAACAAGACTCTGTCTCAAAATAAATAAATAAATAAATAAATAAATAAATAAATAAATAATAAATAAATAAATAAAATTCATGGGAAAAGCAGTGAGGAGTAGAAAGAAAAACCAAGAGGGGAAAGGCAGACATTCCAATAAATATGGATGGAGCATGTACTAAGCACCAGATGCTGCTCTAGACACTGGAGATAAAGCAGGGGAGAAGAAAATCAAGCCAAATCCCCCCACCTTCACAGAGCTTACATTCTATAAGAAGAGCATTATGAGAGGCAGTTGGGTAATTTTCTCCTGCTACAAGAACACAGAATAAAATAAAAGACAATGTGAGGAGGGAAAGGAAAGGCTAATTGTGCCAAGAAGGACTTATTAGAATGAATATGTTTCAGCCTAGAGAAATCCCAAGATTGCTTATTCGTGAAATCTATTCCACATCAAGATTTGACTGGCTTCTCCAAAGCATTGCAGTCTATTCATTCAGAGAGGGCAGCACCTTTCTGCCCCACCCTCTTTGTAAACAGCCCCCAAATGACCGTCTAACTCCATCAATATTGACTGCTTTCCAGGGGTCACCACTTACCATATGTTCCATCCATCACTGCAAACAAGTTCCCCTTGACATATTGATTATTTCATTTTTCTTGTCTTTGAGCCAGAACCTCCTTTCTAATTAATGTATCTATCCTTGGTTCTATCAGTGTGTACATCTTGGACATGCACAAGCTCATACTGTCTACCTGAATTACATATGCAGCAACCTGATTCTTGAGGCGGCTGTTTTCTGTCTCTGCTTAAATGATCTTGAACCCTGATCCTGTTTGCCTTTCTTTAGGAGAGATGTAAATACCTTGCCAAGTCCCAAGCCCAGGATTGCTTCAGTTTACACTTGTATTTTTTAAAAGTACGAATGTCTCTTTGTCACCTACAAGCATCTTTGATGGTGAATGGCTCCAGCTCTAAGAGTCTTAAATTATCAGACAAAACCCCCAACTTTCTCTCTGCTTTATGTCTAGTTTCTGCTAAATGCTGCTCACCTCCAGGAATAGAGCTGCTGGACTCTGGAGGTCAACTATAAGGGTGTTGGAGTTAATAAGCTCAGCAAGTCACTGTACCTTGATCTTTACTTTCCTAGTGCACTCATATTTCTCTCCCTGGAATTAGATGCTCAGCTATCTGCCAGGGGACCTCTTTCCAGATACCCTCTGATTTGAACTAGCAGAAGGTTCCTCATGTGGCAGTTATGGAAGAATAACAACCCATATAGCTCATACGGTACTCTGCTTTTGGTGAAGGTTGCTGCATTTTTGCCAACCGGTCAAACCAATACCTCAGTCATCAAAGATTATTATCATTTGGCTTATGTCCTTAAAGTGGAAAAATAGCTACTGTGATTCTCTCCTTCATAAAGGCTTATGCAGTAAGTGGCTGGGATTAAATTATACAATCACTTCATCTATCTGTTGGAAAGCCTGTCACCCTTATACCACATGTGCCAATTTTTCCCTTTACCAGAGGGGCTCAGTACTGCGAGATGCAGAAAAGGGAGCCTTATGATGCTGGGTAATATAATTCTAAATACCATCAAGCCCATAAAATGGGGAGTAAGTGATAAATAATTTATATTTATCAGAACGACTGAATCTTATTACAAGTTCAGCAATATGATACCTCCCTCACAGCAGAGACCTGGATGGGGAAAGGGATCAGAATTTCAATGGTTTGCCAGGGTCGGATTGAATTCCCGTTTAAAGACCTACGAACCTGATGTGAATCTGGTGGGCTTTTGTTCAGCAATTCCTAGAAAAAATGGTGCTCGTCTTTTAACAAGTGGGTCAGCATGTGATGGAAGAAATCTAATACAACAGGATAATCAGCACAAAAGAAATCTAATATAACAGGATAATTTGGTAAATGCGATAAAATATGGCAATAAGTAGCAGGGTTAACATGCCATTGATGTTTCCATTATTTTCTCCAATCCAAATCTACCAGGATAAAGCAGGACAATCTGTTCATTTCTTTATTCCTAATTCATCTTTTCATTCACTCATCATTTGTTCACTGTCTTAAACACCTAGAATGTGTAAAATACTGTATTAGGAACTATGGGAGATGCAACCATGAATAGGTATGATTCCTATCTTCTAGTAGCTTCCATTCAAATACAGCATTCTGGACTAAACCTTAGCAAGCAGAACTTCAACTATTTATTTATTTATTTATTTATTTATTTATTTATTGAGACAGAGTCTCACTCTGTTACCCAGGCTTGAGTGCAGTGGTGCCTTCTCAGCTCACTGCAACCTCTGCCTGCTGGACTCAGGTGATCCTCCCACCTCAGCCTCCCAAGTAGCTGGGACTACAGGTATACACCACCATGCCCAGCTAATTTTTTTTTTCTTTTTTTTGGAGGGATGGGATTTCACCATGTTGTCCAATGTGGTTTCAAACTCCTGGGCTCAAGTGATCCTCCCACCTCAGCCTTTCAAAGTTCTGGAATTACAGGAGAATTTCAATTTAAGAAAGGAAAAGTGGTTGGGCACAGTGGCTCACGCCTGTAATCCCAGCACTTTGGGAGGCCAAGGCAGGTGTATCACAAGGTCAGGAGTTCGAGACCAGCCTGGCCAACATGGTGAAACCCTGTCTCTACTAAAAATACAAAAAAAAGCTAGGCATGGTGGTGCATGCCTGTAATCCCAGCTACTCGGGAGGCTGAGGCAGGAGAATCGCTTGAACCCGGGAGGCGGAAGTTGCAGTGAGCTGAGATCACGCCATTGCACTCCAGCCCAGGCAATAGAGTGAGACTCCGTCTCAAAAAATATATATAAAAAAGAAAGGAAAAGTGAGCATATGTGTGAGCTAAACACTCATAAATTATCTCTTTCTTTATCCTTATTATTATTATTATTTTTTTAGACAGGTTTTTGATCTGTTCCCTCAGTCTCCCAAGTTAGCTGGGACTACAAGTACGTGCCACTATGCCCTGCTAATTTTTGTATTTTTAGTAGGGATGAGTTTTGCCATGTTGGCCAGGCTGGTCTGGAACTCCTGACCTCAGGTGATCTGCCTGCCTCAGCCTCCCAAAGTGCTGGGATTACAGGTGTGAGCCACTGAGCCTGGCTCTTTATTCTTCTTTATGCTTCCTTATTTTGATGGTGTCTGCCTGAATCAGAACTGGTCCCACTTGAGAAGTATTTTCCTGGAGCCAGATCCCTTGTTTGAAATGCAACAGTTCAAATACACTTTCATGTCTTAAATAGTATCATCAGAGCAAAGTCATTGCTCAAATGAGTGATTAATCTTTGTTTCATGCATTTTTTTTTCATGACAAAAACAGAAACAACCAATGGTCAGCGGCAGAACTCTGAAAACAAACACCTCTACCTGCATGACCGAAACTCTAGATTGCCTTTCTTTGGTGGGAAAAATCTCACATATGAGCCCAGTATAAGGTACATAGTTATTTTTGGCAAAGAGCTGATAATGTGCTCAATGAAAAACACCAATCACTTTTTTTTTTGAGACCAAGTTTCACTCTTTTTGCCCAGGCTGGAGTACAGTGGCATGATCTCAGCTCACTGCAACCTCCGCCTCCCAAGTTCAAGTAATTCTCCTGCCCCAGCCTCTCCAGTAGCTGGGATTACAGGCAAGTGCCACCATGCCCAGTTAATTTTGTATTTTTAGTAAAAATGGGTTTTCACCATGTTGGCCAGGCTGGTCTCGAACTCGTGACCTCAGGTGATCTGCCCACATCAGCCTCCCAAGGTGCTGGGTTAGAGGCCTGAGCCACCACGCTTGGCCCATTTTTGCCTTTTATATTGAAGGAACAGCAATCCACTTGGAAAAGTAGCAGCAGTTTAGCCGTGTAAGCACTCTCCTGGTATGTGGCTGTATTTTCTTTTAAGGTAGGCATCCAGAGTTTATTTTTTGGTCCAAAAGAGTTTATTAAATGAATTAACGTTACAGTTACAAATACACTTCTTGCAACATTTCTCCCCATCATTTCTGCAAGCTCCTTTGAGAGATGATCAAGGTGGGAAGACTGAGTGACACAGCTGAGGGCAGTAGCCTCTAGCTGCAAAATTTCAGTGACAGGGGACAGAGGCACGGGCATGGCCCGCTTTCTTCCAGCTGTGACATCAGGGGATTTCGGGCATAAGAGGGAAGTACTGCTTTCCCACTCACAATGACTTAGAAGTTGATCCCCTTCTCCAGGTTTTGTCTCTGTAGCCCGGCTTGGACAAAACCAGGATGTTAAATTAGCAAGTGAATTAGCAAATTTCTCAAAACTACCCAAAGACACCAGCCTATTTTGTGCCTCTGAATCTGTTCTTGAATTGCTCACTCTGCCTGGAAAGGCCTTTGCCACCCAAACCCTTTTCTCCTCTAGAATACAACCTTATCTTTCAAAACTAGTTCAAGAACCATTCCCTCAATAATAATAATAATAATTAAAATAATTAAAAAATAATTAAATATAATTACATAATAATAATTATTATTAAGGCAGAGTTTCATTCTGTTGCTGGGCTAGAGTGCAGTGGCTCAATCACAGTTCACTGCAGCCTCAACTTTCTGGGCCCGAATAATCCTCCCACCTTAGCCTCCTGAGTAGCCGAGACCACCTGCATACGCCACCACATCTAGCTAAATTTTAAATTTTTCTGTAGAGAGCGGTTCTCACTATGTTGCCCAGGCTGGTCTCGATCTCCCGGGCTCAAGCAATCCTCCCGCTTCAGCCTCTCAAAGAGCTTAGATTCTAGGCATTAACGACTGTGCTGGTCTCCCATCATCTTCTTCCCATTCTGCTCAGCAGAATTACCTCAATCCCTGGCCCCCGTCTTTACTCCTACTGCTGCTGTAACAAATTACCATAAACCTAATGACTTAACAGGTTTGGAGTGCAATGGTGCCATCTCGCCTCACCTAACAATTCTAGAGGTCAGAAGTCCTAAAATCACAGTGTTGGCAGGACTGTGTTCCTTCTAAAAGCTTTTGAAGAAAATGTGTTTCTTTGCTTTTTCCACCTTCTGGAGGCTGCCTGTATTCCCTGGCTTGTGGTCCTTTCCTCAAATCACTCTGATCTCTGTTACCAAGTTTCATCTCCCTCTCTGCAGCAACTCTCTTGCCTCCCTCTTTCACTGACTGGAACCTTTCTGATGATATTGGACCCACCAAAATAATCCAAGATAATCTCTGCATCTTGAGATCCACAGTGCATCTCAAAGTCCCTTCTCCCATGTAAAGTCACATATTCCCAGGCTCTGGGAATTAGGACATGGACATCTCTGGGGGCCATAATTCTGTCTACCCGCTGTGAGCCCAGTGTTCCATTTAGAAATGTCCATGTCAGCTGCATAACACTAAGGGACAATTTGTTTACAGAAGTCACCCTCAAAGGCTAATATCAGCCAGGCGCGGTGGCTCACGCCTGTAATCCCAGCACTTTGGGAGGCCGAGGCAGGTGGATCACTTGAGGTCAGGAGTTGGAGACCAGCCTGGCCAACACAGCGAAACTCAATCTCTACTAAAAATACAAAAATTAGCCACATGTGGTGACACACACCTGTAATCCCAGCTACTTAGGAGGCTAAAGCAGGAGAATTGCTTGAACCCGGGAGACAGAGGTCGTAGTGAGCCAAGATCGCATCACGGCACTCCAGAGTGGGTGACAGAGCGAGGCTCCAGCTCAATAAAGAAAAGAAAAGACTATTATCCCCCAGAGCGAGGTATCTTGGGTCTTCAAGTTGTTTCTTCAGGGCCTAGGATGTTGCCTATGACTTAGCAGATGTTCAATAAATTAAACTGAATATTCGTGGCAAAGAAAACTAAGGGAAAAAGAGAGCAAGGACAATTTTGCTGTAAGGCTATTATTTGACAAGCAAGTAAAATCAACAGGCCAAAGTAAATGGTTGGAAGAAAAAGCACAATGAAATTCATCATTTTGTCATAAAGTTTCATAGATAAAACAACAAAATCCAACCTGTCTAGATCAGGGGTTGGCCAACTGCAACCTGTGGCTGCCTGAGGTCAGGAGTTTGAGACAAGCCTGGACAACATGATGAAACCCTGTCTCTACTAATAATACAAAAATTAGCTGGGTGTGGTGGCACATGCCTGTAATCCCAGGAGGCTGAGGCAGGAGAATCACTTGAACCTGGGAGGCAGGAGGCAGAGGCTGCGGTGAGCCGAGATCACACCATTGCACTCTAGCCTGGGCGACAACAGCAAAACTCCATCTCAAAAAAAAAAAAGTTTTACTGAAAGGCGGAGGGATCCATTTGTTAGCACACTGGCTGTGGCTGCTTTTGCACTATAATGGCAGAGTTGAGTAGTTTCAATGGAGACTCTAGGCTCTGCAAGCCTGAAATATTTACTGTCTGGCACTTTACATAAGATATTGGTTGACTACTGGTCTAGATAATTAGAAAGGTTAAATAACAATTTTTTTTCAGGTTAGATGGGTAACATGCCAACTCCGTAACAAGGTTCAGAAGGTGTCATATCTCACACATGCATGTAAACACTCGATGGTCATGCTCATGAACTACAAAAGGATCATTAAATCAGAATTTTGGCTGGGTGCAATGGTTCACACCTGTAATTCCAGGACTTTGGGAGGGCGAGGTGTGTGGATCACCTGAGGTCAGGATTTTGAGACCAGCCTGGCCAACATGACGAAATTCCATCTCTATTAAAAATATGAAAATTAGCCAGGCATGGTGGCATACGCCTGTAATCCCAGCTACTCAGAATACAGAGGCAGGAGAACCACTTGAACCCAGGAGATGGAGGTTGCAGTGAGCCAAGACCATGCCACTGGACTCCAGCCTGGGTGACAAGGCGAGACTCTGTCTCAAAAAAAAAAAAAAAATCACAATTTTGTTCAAAGAAGGTTAGATTAAACATTCTGAAAGCGGAATTCATGGGTTCACGTGTGGCGTGACCAAAAACAAAAAACAAACAAACAAACAAAAACCTCAAAAATCAGAAAGCTGAATTCACGTATTTCACTATCATGGATATTGATTGATTGTCCATCTCTTTGGCTGGGCTGTCTCTTACCCAGTAGATTAGTGGGCTGACATTTTAATTCAAAGTCATGAAATTATAAAGCTGGTCAGTTTATTTATTTTGAATATCTTGATAGCTGGGATAAGAGAGTGCTATATCCCATTTCTTATTCAAAGATCAAACTTTAAATTTCCTGACTCCTTCATTGTGAACATGGACCAAATCATCATGTCAGTATTTAACAGGGGCAACTTTCCTTTTAGCATTGAAGGTACATCATTTCTCCTTCCTACTTGCCTCTTGTGAAGGTATTCACAGACACTAGGAAGAAAGAGTCACTCTCTTCTCCTTGATAGAAATTAACTTGTTTGGCCAAGTGCAGTGGCTATTGCTTGTAATCCCAGCACTTTGGGAGGCCAAGGCAGGAGGATCACTGAGCCCAGGAGGTCAAGACCAACCTGGGCAACTTACTGAGAACCCATCTCTACAAAAAAATACAAAAATCAGCCAGGCATGGTGGCACGTGATTGCAGTCCCAGCTACTCAGGAGGCTGAGGTGGGAGGATCACTTGAGCCTGGGAGGTCAAGATTATGGTGAGCCATGATCGTGCCACTGCACTCTAGTCTAGGTGACAGAGCAAGATTCCATATCCAAAATAAAAAAAAACAGAGGGAAAAATTAGCGTGTTTGTAAGAGTAAATTTATTTAGTGAGAATGAGGAGAAAAATCAGTAAATAGGCTTCTTCCCCCCACAATACTACCTTCGAACCAAAATGGCTTTGTAGTTGTTTTGTGGTCTTTGTATGAAGTTAGAACTTCTAGTATGTTGCACTGAGGGAAAATATTTATTGATGAAGTCATTTTTGCCACATCACTTTATTTATTTATTTATTTATTTATTTATTTATTTATTTATTTTTATTTTTTTGAGACGGAGTCTCACTCTGTCGCCCAGGCTGGAGTGCAGTGGTGCGATCTTGGCTCACTGCAAGCTTTGCCTTCTGAGTTCACGCCATTCTCCTGCCTCAGCCTTCCGAGTAGCTGGGACTACAGGTGCCCACCACCACGCCCAGCTAATTTTTTGTATTTTTAGTAGAGATGGGGTTTTACCATGTTAGCCAGGATGGTCTCGATCTCCTGACCTCATGATCCACCCGCCTCGGCCTCCCAAAGTGCTGGGATTACAGGCGTGAGCCACCGCGCCCAGCCCACATCACTTTAAATAGTACCTTCTTAATTTTAAAAAGCATAAGATTGAACACCAGAAACCACTATTAAAAACTACTAACATTTAACATGGTTTCTAATTTTCAAAAATTGAAATTAAGAGTCTTGGATTATAATTCCACTTTTGCTACTTACTTTGTGAACTAAAACAAGACACACACCTTTCCATGGCTTCAATTTCTCCATATGTCAAAATGATTATAACAATATTTTCCCCACCTAATTCACAGAACTGCTGTTTTGATAAAATGAGGTAATGTTCGTGAATTTGTGAAAGCACTCCACAAGTGAAAGACATTATTATTGTCTGTTTATGGTCTTAATGTCTTCCTAAATTGTCTACGGTATTAAAACTGTTATGGTCATAAACATCTAAAATAATCTTCCATAGTTGACTGTGAAATTCTCCTTGTGAATTTCATAGTTGAGATTTTATTTTGATGTAATAAATGAGCATAATTAACTTTTATTGTGTGCATTATTTGTGAGAATGTTTTAACGCCTGAAGTATAGCCATATATCTCCGCATTACATAAGGATTACCAAACTGAAAAATGCTGTCTTTAAAAATGGTTTGATCTCATTTGGAGATCTGAGTTTGCTTTTATGGCTGAGATTAATAAAATGTTGCTGTTTAAAATGAAACTGTTTTCTTTCTAGCACTTCATATTTTCGCTTGGTTAAAGAAGCAGCAGTAGCATGATTAGATGTCAGTAATTAAATATCTCTGTAGAACAGTATTTTAATAGGATATATTTAGAACACAGCCACACCAAAAACATTCCATTACATAGATACAGCTTTAATATTTAACAGCTTGTTTCTTAACTACCAAACCTTCTGGTGAGCTGATATTGACTATGTATAAAGGAAAGCAAGCCGTTTAGTGTCAAATTAAGAGAAGTGGAAAATATTATAATGGTATTTTTTATGTCTTGCTAGTCTCATTTTCAGCCAAGTATAATGTTTTTATTTAATACATTTAACTATCAATTCATCTCTCTTATTTTTAGCAATAGGAGCCTTCAATTTTCTCTAAACAAAATGAAGGTCTATCTAGGGACCAGAGAAGAAAAAAAAAAAACCGCTTTACTCAAGCACCATGAGACAACAAACATGTATGTGAAGTAACAGACATTAACCTAGGGCCCAGTAAAATTCTCTGAAACTAAAATGTCAAAACCACTGGTAAGTGATCTCAGGAAGTGGAAAAGAAAGCTACCTCATACTTCTCTTAGAGATAGTAACATGTTTCTCCATTATATCATGTTAAGTGTGAGTTTGTAAATAAACAGAATTATCCATAATGTATCATGCACTGTGTCGTTGTTGTTATTTTTGAGATAGGGTGTCACTCTGTTGCCCAGGCTGGAGTGCAGTGGCACAATCATACATAGCTCACTGCAGCCTTGATATCCTGGGCTTAAGCAATCCTCCTGCCTCCATCTCCTGAGAAGCTGGGACTACAGGCGTGCACCACCATGCCCAGCTAATTGTTTTACTTTTTGTAGACATGCGGTCTCACTTTGTTGTCCAGGCTGGTCTCGAACTCCTAGCTCAAATGATCCTCCCACCTCGGCCTCTCAGAGCGCTGGGATTATAGGCATGAGCCTGGTCCACACTTTGTTTTTTTTTAAAGAACTTACCATTCTCCCAAAATTTTCATTTCAATTCCACAACTCTTTACTATAGTTGCAGGCCTCAGAATAAGGAAGTTGGGATTCAGTTCTTTTTACTAAGAACATAAAGAACTGTCCATTCACTATAGTTGGAAGGGTGATCTTTGGCGATCCACAAGGGTAAACAGGTGGCTCATACTATCTCTAGGTTTCCACAGCCATAATGACAAAGATCATTCAGAGAACAAATGTGCATCCAACACTGATTCATTTCTCTGGTGGCGGAAGAATACAGCAGTCTGTCAGATACAGTAGACCTAACTGACTCTGCAGCTAAGCTGATGCAGGAGAAGTGAGCCCAAAACTGAGGCTTAGCCTGGGAGGGTTCTTAGCTTCACTCAGGAAAGAATTCAAGGTGAACCAGTGGTCTTAGCAACTTTTTTTTTCTTCAGATGGAGTCTCTCTCTGTCGCCCAGGCTGGAATGCAATGGTGAGATCTCGGCTCACTGCAACCTCTGCCTCCCAGGTTCAAGCGATTCTCCTGCCTCAGACTCCTGAGTAGCTGGGATTACAGGCGCGTGCCACCACGCCCAGCTAATTTTTGTATTTTTAGTACAGACAGGGTTTCACCACGTTGGTCAGGCTGGTCTTGAACTCCTGACCTTGTGATCTGCCTGCCTCAGCCTCCCAAAGTGCTGGGATTACAGGGGTCTTAACAACCTTAATTGGAGCAGCAGTGCACAGCAGCAGCAGAGGCACTGCTCCCTGCAGAGCAGGGCTACCCCATAGGCTGCACGCCCAGAGTAGCAGCTCAGAGGCCGTCCTGCAGTCCTATTTATACCTACTTTTTAATTAAATGCAAATTAAGGAGCTATTATGCAGAAATTTCTAGAAAATGGGTGATAACATCTGGGTCATTATGTCATTGCCATGGAAAGGGGTGATCACTTCTGGGTGCTGCATAGCAATGGTAAACTGATATGGCACACTGGTGGGTGTGCTTTATGGAAAGCTGCCTCTGCTCTGTCCCTGAGTCTCGCTCTGTCGCCCAGGCTGGAGTGCAATGACGCGATCTCGGCTCCCTGCAACCTCCACCCTCCGCCTCCTGGGTTCAACCAATTCTTGTGCCTCCGCCTCCCAAGAAGCTGGGATTACAGGCACACACCACGAAGACTGACTAATGTTGTTGTATTTTTAGTAGATATGGGGTTTCACCATGTTGGCTAGGCTGGCCTCGAACCCCTGGCATCAAGTAATCTGCCCACCCGGGCCTCCCAAAGTGCTGGGATTACAGGCGTGAGCCACCGTGCCCGGCCTGTCACTGTTTTAACTAGTCCTCAATTTGGCCCGGTGTTAGAACCCTGTCTTCAGAGTCAAGTCCCACTTCCTGAGGCAAGTCCTGGCTCCTACCTCAAAAGTCTAAGGGCTCAAGGTCTGGTGGCACCACTTGTTCACTGGGTAACTCTGGGCAAGGGGCTAAGTATCCAAATCACAGCCTCTTACCTGTGAAATGAGAGCTAATACTGGTACCTACATTCTGGAAATGTCAGAATGTTTAAGCCTAGTATTTAATGAGTGCCCAATAAGTATGAGAAGAACAAAGATGAAACATCGCTAGAGAAAGATCAAATGGGGGAGATTGTATATGGAGATAGAGTGCCTATCGGATTACAGCAAATCCTTTTGCAGAAAGGTGGGTAGGAGGGTAATGCAGAAAGAGACGAACTTTACCATGAACTTTACCATGAACTTTACCATGAACTTTACCATGAACTTTACCATGAACTTTACCGTAGTTACATAGAAGAGCAAAGTGTGACAATCCCAGCCAGGCTGTGGTTCCCTCAGGCTCAGTTCTAGTTTAGGGGGTTACCTAAAAATAAGAAGTTTTCCTCTTAACTGCAATGTGCCTCATCTTGACCTTTGATCCTTAAAATATGGGTTAATGGTCTGGCCTTTTGAACTTAATTATGACAACAATATTCACTAATGCAGACCTGGAGCAGACTATGCATGTAAACAATTGTGTTCAAGCCTCTTTAATCTGGTTATTAATGAGTGCTTAGTAAAACTGTGTTGGGTAGTTGAAATTCCTGAGAATCTTGTAGTTACTATGCGCCATTATCTGTGGAACATCAGGTACCTTGCATAGAGGTGGGGGACTGAAGGGGCAGCTTGCATTACTTCTAGCAAATGAGGACATTGGGGCCCCAAGTGAGACGCTGCCAAGTGACTGCTTTGTGGAGGCAGCACATTGTCAGGGAAAAAAAAAAAGTAGCAGAGAATCACTCCTTCTGTTCTTCTGCACTATTCTCTATCCAAGATCATAATCAATATCCTTTCACACAGAATGGCCTATCAATAGCTGGAATGGGAAAACAATACTTTATTTCAGATTCATCTTTCAAGAACCTCAAGAGCAGGAGATTTTGATAAAGAAGAGCAGTAAATATTCTCTGGGCCGAGGAACTGAAAGAGGACAAACACTGTTCTCGTTCAGTCTGTTAGGAGGGGGAATTAAAGCCTTCGCTAGAAGCAATATTTCTATGAAATCCTCCCTGATCATTTCCACCAGAGTCTACCCTGATCAAAAGCCACACTATTTAAAAAGAAATAAGAGTGGATATCACCGAGAATAATGTGAGCATGGAAGGGGAGGTGCACAGGAGAATAAGTCAGAGAGATAGCATTAAAATGCCTTTTCATACTCGACACAGAAGAAACCTTATCTTCAAAACATAAAAGAGGCTGATGAATATATGAGCCGCTGATACCCTGCTAGATCTTAGATTCCATCTTGGAGGGAGAAAGGAATGATTTCATTGTGGTGTTTTGAAAAGAAACCTACAGAGAATGAAGAAGTATCTTCACTTAAAGATTGGACAGCATGATACCACATTCTGAGAAGTTGTCTCCTGTCAGAAGCCATCATGCCTTCCCTGACTTTTATGGGATTTGACACAAACTGAAGGAGGGTCGCAAATAAAGTACTTTCTCTCTCTCTCTCTCTCAGTCTCTCTTTCTCTCAAAATCGCTCTACCTCTGGTTTAAAAACAATGCAAAGAGTGAAGATGTTGCCTCCATCACAGACAAAGTGGAGTGCTGAGTTTTCGTTTTTGTTTTTGTTTCTTTGAGACAGTCTTGCTCTGTCACCCAAACTGGAATGCAGTGGTGCGATCACGGCTCGCTCCAGCCTGGACCCCCTGGGCTCAATCAATCATCCTGCCTCAGCCTCCCTAGTAGCTGAGACTACAGGTGTGCGCCACCATGCACCACTCATTTTTTGTAGAGATAGGGCCACGCTATGCTGTCTAAGCTACTCTCGAACTCCTGGGCTCAAGCAATCCTCCTGCCTTGGCCTTCCAAAATGCTGAGATTACAGGCGTGAGCCACCACGCCCACCCAGAGTGCTGTTTTTAAGTTAGTAGTTACTTCAAAGTCATTAGGGTTGAAGAATAATGAAGGAAGATACATTAGAAAACACTTTGCATCTATAGCATAGCAGTGAAATAGCTATCAACCCAACAGAAATGAACAAGCTGAAAATGGCTTCATTCATTTTAAAATAATTTAAATCCAACTCATTGAAAATAATGAAATCAGTTGTCCATACATAGAAAAATTAGGGCAGTGAAATGGACCATATTGAAACACCATTCTCTTACTCTGATATCTTTGGATCATAGCCTAGGGATCCCCACCCTTAGTGCTTCTGACATTTTGGGCTGCATGAGTGTTTGTTATGGGGAGCTATCCTGTCCATTGTAGGATGTTTAGCAGCATTTTTGAACTTTTACCACTAGATGCTAGTAGCACCCTCCACCCAAGTTAAGACACCAAAAATGTCTCTAGAATTGTCAGCTGTTCCCAGGGCAGGGGGAGGGAGGCACAAAATCACCCCTGGTTGAGAACGGCTGCCTTAGAGCAGGGGTCCCCAACCCCTGGGCCAGGGACCAGTACCAGTTACTGTTAGGAACCAGGCCACACAGCAGGAGGTGAGTGGCAGGTGAGTGAGAGAAGCTTCATCTGTATTTACAGCCACCCCGCATTGCTCACATTACCGCCTAAACTCTGCCTCCTGTTAGAATAGCAGCAGCATTAGATTCTTACAGGTGTGTGAACCCTACTGTGAACTGTGCATGTGAAAGATCGAGGTTGTGCGCTCCTTATGAGAGTCTAATGCCTGACGACCTGTCACTGTCTCCCATCACCCCTACATGGGACTGTTGCAGGAAAACAAGCTCAGGCCTCCCACTGATTCTAAATTATGGTGAGTATGTAATAATAATAGAAATAAAGTACACAACAAATGTAATGCACTTGAATCAGTCTGAAAGCATTCCTCGTCTCTCCCCACCCAAATTGTCTTCCCCAAAACTGGTCCCTGGTGCCAAAAGGTTGGGGACTGCTGCACTAGAGCTGATTCTGGTTTTCACTGCTGGGCACTCTGCGATCCACTCAGATAGCCCAAAAGACACAGCTGCTATCACCACCAACTTCTTGAATATCTCAGGATTCACCTCCGAATGTGCTAACCCATCCTATCCTTAGCCAATCACCCTAAGCATTATTTCCCCCTACATGGTCCCTCCACAGACCATTTTGTTTTCTCAGGCACTTGTCCAACAATTCCGCTGCTATAAACGAACTGTTTGTGTCCCTCCCAAAATTCATAGATTGAAGCTTAATCCCCAAGGTGATTGGGTCTTGATCACGGCATGAGAGTGAAGCCTTCATGAATGGGATTAGTGCCCTCATCAAGGAGACCCCAGCGAGCTGCCTCACTCCTTCCACCATAGAAAGACCCAGAAAGAGGGTGGCCATCTAAGAACCAGGACACTGAATTGGCCAGAGACTTGACCTTGGACTTTCCAGCCTCTAGAAATGCAAGAAATAAATTTCTGCTATTAATAAGCCACTCCGTCTATGAGAGTTTGTTACAGCAGCCCAAACAGACCGAGACATCCACCAAAATGTTTTCAGGGTCTCTATTTAGAAGGTGTGGCTTACAAGGGGGAAAGAGCATTTATTGCAAAGTTGGACAGCCCTGGGTTCAAATCCTGCCCCTGCCACTTAGCAGCAATGAGATACTTTTTTTTGGCAAGTCATTTTCCTTTCTGACTCTTGGCTTCTTACATGAAAACAATTAGAATAATTATAACTTCCCTATAGAAATGTTGCTGCTTAAATGATATTGTGTGTAAAGACCCTATAAGCAGCTGGAGGTGCTGTTTTCACCAGAAATTGAAAATATATTGCTTCCAATTTGAAAGGAAAAACAGAGGGCCAGTTGGGGCTGAAATAGTATTTGATAAACTAGGACAAGAATCAAAATTGACGGCACTGAGACAGAAGGAGTGGTCAGGAGAAGCAGGCAGGAACGCAGGGGGCACAGATCACCTGGCTCTTGCAAGGAGCTTAATGATTATGACGGTCAGGGCCAGGAAATACCGAATTATGAAAGTACAAAGATGGAAATAAAAGTATGTGTGCCTAAAATAAACACAAATGAATCAAGCTGTGATCAATCCTTTTTTTGCTTCATTGTGTTTCACTAGCTGACTAATTTCACCTCATCGATTTTCTTACTAATTTCGAAGTGGTCTCTCTGTTTGGAAAAGAACCCCTCATTTCTTTCAGGTTAATTTGTATCTGCTGAGATTGGTTCATCACTTAAACAATCAAAATATATTATTAGTGCAATGTGACATTTCTATAGCATCTATTTTTGTAATACAAGAAAAAAAAAGGTGCCTACCAAATGTCTTTGCCAGATATAAAGTTTTTCTAGCCTTCATTTTTAAAGGGAAAGTAAGTGTTAAAAACTCAGCTAATTTAAGGAATTAGATTTTAAAAAAATAATGAACAAAATGCATTGCATTGTTAAATCCATTTTTAAAGTGAACTTCTTTATGTCTAGAATAGCACACTAACGATAATGGGGTAAGGTTTGAAGATAAATGCAATCTTCAATACAATCTTCCCTTTGAATCCAATATTATTATAAAATTTCATTGTTGCTTAATTAGGGTGTAAGACGATAGGTCAATATATCCTTTTACTGTAACAAATGGTCAAGAGAAAAATTATTGTATAGCATCAGAATAATAAAGCAGTAGCTGACAACTGCAGTTTTCTATCAGATGCATTCCTAATAGTTCCATACAATCACTATTAGACCAAGCCTCGCTGAGGAATGTCAGGAAAAGTAAAACAGACAGCCATCTCTTTAAGGCACTTGGAACAATTTAGTTTGACTTAATAGGGTCTTTCTCTGGGAGTCAGAATAGACGTATAAGCAGCTCCACCAACATTTTCGGATCTTATTTGTGTTAGAAATGGCAGCTGCTTTTGATCATGTTGGTCACAGAGTCCTTTCATTTGCCTTGCACATAAGGTTGGGCTCCTACCTGATAGTATCTTGTTTCTCTACTCTCTTAAATGTTTCTCTGCCTTTGTTTCAGTTTAAACAAATGAGAATCTGGCAATAATCCATCGAATTTTGTACTTCCTGCAGTCAGCATTCTGTGCACGTGTCTTCAGCCCTGGCACTTCAGTTCCTGTGTGTGTCTCCCACTGTGCCTGTTTTTAGGTGTCATGTATGTTATCTCTGTTATATCCAGCTTTATCACTCTATTTTTGAACAGCTACTAAGGAGGTCTTGCCTCTATAAAAATCACAAATGAAGACAACTTCTTTTTCATGTTAATAGAAGAGAAATCCTAGACATTTTATGATCAAACCCTACCTCTTTTTAAAATGTGTAGAAAAACAAAGAACTTCACTTTTATTGCATTGTCTGTTTCATTTTTGAAAATAGTTTAGGGTGCATATCACCACGAAACTTCCCATAGCAACAAGGCGTTTGAAAGAATATGGCTTCCTTTTACATTTTCTAGGATAAATGGCTGTGAGCTACTTTGATTCTTGCTTTTAAAATGTATTCCCATAATATTCACAAGTAGGACACACCCCAAAATTGACTGTGTGTGACTCAAAACCAACTGGGTAAATTATTTCTATTTTCTCACTTTAATTTTAATTATGACTAATATTAGGTACTAAATCTCAAGGAAGCAAAATTCTTTTTCTGTGTACTCACATGAGATACAACCCAACACTTTGGGAGGCTGAGGCGGATGAATCACCTGAGGTCAGGAGTTCGAGACCAGCCTGGCCAACATGGCAAAACCTCATCTCTACTAAAAACACAAAAAAATTAGCTGGGCATGGTGGCGGGCGCCTGTAATCCCAGCTACTCAGGAGGCTGAGGCGCGAGAATCGTTTGAACCCAGGAAGCAGAGGTTGCAGTGAGCTGAGATTGCACCACAGCACTCTAGCCTGGGCAACAGAGCAAGACTGTCTCAAAAAAAAAGAAAAAAAAAAAGAAGTTATCAACGTGATTAAGGAACCAGTGCCTGCATGCTCTCTCTCGCTCTTGCTCTCTCTCTCTCTCTGTCTCTGTCTCACACACACGCACGCGCACGCACACACACACACAGCTATATGACCTGCAGAATCTGATTCATGTCTGGGATTTGGTGAAGGAGTGAAGGAGGGAGTGAGGTAATATGATTGTGTGCTGGGAACATTGTAGCATTGTTGATGGTGAAGTTCCTTGAAGTTGGGAAAAGTTGAGAAGTTCTGAAACCTCAGCACTCAATGTTGTTTCTTTGTTTGCCCTGCCTCATTAAACATCTTATCTCCTATGAGCTGAAAAGCCTCACCAACTGCAGTAAGGAAGTAACCTGGACTAATTTCACATTTTCTAAAGCCTCAAAAGCCACCAATCTGCTGGTGGAAGATTCCTGTGATCAACAGTGTGCCCAGGAAATCCACACTCAACATTCATACAACCTGGTGTTCTTTTGAAGAACAGTTGCTGCAAAGCATGCCTGGATGTTGATGTTTTGAAATGAACAGCTGCATTCATGATGGAGGAGATAAGGAATAGTAAGTCCAAATTTTCAATATTTGTGAATTTAAAAAATATGTTTGCTTTCTTCAAATGGAAGGGAATAATAATAGATCTAGAGGGTGATGCCATGGAAATCTGGCACCAAATTTCTGTGTTTGTAGAAATGCATAGCTCACACCATCCCTATTTACACAGTTCTGGTTTACATTAGCAAAGGTACCTGTTACATATTTGTTGATGTTCTCTTACCTTACCTTGTGTTGTTGATGCTGTTTTGTTTTTATATGAAGAACCACAGAAGTATGAGGTTCTGTTTCATGTGTCTCATGAAACATCTATTTACTTAAACATGGAAGTCTGCAAAGAAATAGAGAGGGAGCATGAAAACGCATACAATAGAGGAGAGAGATTCATTATATATCAAGATATGCATGTGTTGGCCAGGTGCGGTGGCTCATGCCTATAATCCCAGCAGTTTGGGAGATCGAGGCACGTGGATCACTTGAGGTCAGGAGTTTATGCAGATTTGTAGCCTAGAAGCAACAGGCTGTAGCATCTAGCTTAGGTGTGTAGTACGCTACACCATCTTGGTTTTGTGTAAGTATATTACAGTGTTCACACAATGATGAAATTGCCTAATGACATATTTCTCAGAACCCATCCCCATCATTAAGTGATGCATAATTGTATATAACATTTAAATTTTCATGTCCGTAAATCAGTAATCTGTACTTTTAACAGCTACCCAGATGACAGACACATATCACCTAGTAACTTCCTTGAGAAAATATATAAAGAAAATGAGCTTGTGCGTTGTGTTGGAAAAGTGGTTAAGAAGACTATTCATGGTTCCCAAGATAGAATTTTAAAAATAAAAATAAAGAAAATGAAGCAAAAAAAAAAAGAAAAGAAAAGATAGGACCAGCTAGAAGCTTAATTTCAAAAAATGTACTGGAAGCAGAGAATCAAAAACGTGTAAAAGCTGTTATCTTCAATGGTAGCAATCTTTCCTGGCAAGATCTTTTTTTTTTTCTTTTCTTTGAGATAGAGTCTTGCTCTGTCACCAGGGTGGAGTGCAGTTGTGCGATCTCAACTAACTACAACCTCTGATTCCCCAGTTTAAGCAATTCTCCTGCCTCAGCCTCCCAAGTAGCTGGGATTACAGGCACGTGCCACCACGCCCAACTAATTTTTGTATTTTTAGTAGAGATGGGGTTTCACCATGTTGGCCAACATGGTCTCGATCTCCTGACCTCGTGATCGGCCCGCCTCGGCCTCCCACAGTGCTGGAATTACAGGTGTGAGCCACCGCACCTGGCCCTCCTGGTAAGATTTTTAAAAGAAAAGTAATCAATATCTACGCATACACCCACCACTCTTACTTATAGCACAGTCCTATTGCTCACATAGCACAATGTGAATTACAGGGTGCTGCAGACTTGTTACTGTCTTTTCATTTTGTCTCATTTTGCTTTTTTGGTTGCCTACACTATCTGGGCCTTTTTCTATACTTAGGCAATAGGCACCATTTGGGAACTGGTAGGAGAAAAAGTCCACATTCTACTATAGAAGCCCCACAATACCAAATCCCTTGCAGGTAGGCACTGGGTCTATTGGTCCTTGATCTATCAATACATAAACTCTTCACTCAGAATTGAGAACCAAATGACTCAAAATTTTTGGTGGCAATGGCAGTAGCATCCAATTTCCGGAGATGACAACGGCAGACTAGACCTAAGTATTTACAAATTTACGAGTAACATGAATTCATAAAGCAAACATGTCCTCAACCGCCATGTGTCACTATAGCAAAGACCACATTAATTTGTGAGCATCCTCAGGAGTGCAAATTAGAACATGAAAAGAAGCAGGAAAGTAAAGCATATGTTTAACATTTTTTTTTTTTTTTTTTTTTTTGTAGAGACGGGGTTTCACCATGTTGCCCAGGCTGGTCTCAAACTCCTGGGCTTGGGTGATCCACCCTCCTCAGCCTCCCAAAGTGCTGGGATTACAGACATGAGCCACCGTGCCTGATCCTTGGATAGTCAACATTTCTGCTAAGAAATGTCGTTTCCTATGTAAGAATAAATTGCATTGATAGTGTCTGAGGTGGATCTGACTAGTTAATTCTGCACTTCTCCTACCTAAGTTCTTTTGCTCCTTCTTTTCCGTATGCTCTGAAGCAGTATTCATCTCTAATGTTGGCAGGGATGCTACCTACATTCACGGCATTGGGTAGAGTGGCATTTTGTTTCAAGGATGTAGAGAAGGAGATGTCCAGAAGTGTTTTCCTGGGGCCTGAGTGGCATTAAGAGCATAGCATTCATTGGTGTAAATGGCTGTTTGCCTAAGAACAGCAGTGGCAGTGAAAATGAAAATGAAAATGCAGACCAGGCGCGGTGGCTCATGCCTGTAATCCCAGCACTTTGGGAGGTCAAGGTGGGTGGATCACTTGAGGTCAGGAATTTGAGACCAGCCTGGCCAACATGGTGAAACCCCGTCTTTACCAAAATATACAAAAATTAACTTGGCATGGTGGTGAGTGCCTATAGTCCCAGCTACTCAGAAGGCTGAGATAGGAGAATCGCTTGAACCTGGGGGGAGGAGGCTGCAGTGAGCTGAGATCGTGCCACTGCACTCCAGCCTAGGTGACAGAGTGAGATCCTGCCTGTAAAAAAAAAAAAAAAGAAAGGAAGGAAGGAAGGGAGGAAGGGAGAAAGGGAGAGAAGGAGAGAGAGAGAAAGGGAGAAAAAGAGAGAGAGAGAAAGGGAGGAAGGGAGAGAAAGAGAAAGAAAAAAAGGAAGGAAGGAAGGAAGGAAGGAAGAAAGAAAGGAAGGAAGGAAGGAAGGAAGGAAGGAAGGAAGAAAGAAAGAAAGAAAGAAAGAAAGAAAGAAAGAAAGAAAGAAAGAAAGAAAGAAAATGCTCTTTTTTTTTTTTAAAGACAGATGAGGTCTTGTTGTGTTGTCCAGGCTGATTTTGAACTCCTGAGCTGAGCTCAAGTGACCCTCCCACATCAGACCTCCCAAGTGCTCAGATTGCAGGCATGAGCCACTATACTGGGCCCCTGGACTGGCTCCGTTGTCCTTTGTTGCTTAGTCTCCTTTTCCTCCTATTTAGACCTTCTTACCTGCCTTCCTGCCTTCCTGCCTTCCTGACAGTTGTTGTTACTGGATATCCATTCATAAAAATGGCTGCTTTACAGCTTAAATCCACCAGGGTTTTACACAAGTTCCATAACCCATCCCAATAGAGCACAGGCACTATTGAATTTGCTAAATCATAAGGTCCACGTGAAAGAATTTCTTCTACTGCAGCTTTGATCAGCTAGAAAGTTTCTCTTTCCTTCTCCTCCTGGTAAATAAGAGGCGAAAAAGAAAACTTCCCTGAATTTTTTTCGGTGTTTCTATAAGAAGCCCTAGCCTTCATCTGTAGCCATTTGTCTAGTTAATTGTTCTGATCGGAAACAGTACTAACTTCTCTTATCTCCCCAGGTGAACCAAAGAGTTACAGCCTGAGTAGGTACCTTAGGCTGAGCCCAAGTTGCAAGAGAAGCAGCAATACTACATTTCTAGGTATCTGCATTTCAGAGAGAAACAAGGCTGGGAATTTTTTTTTTTTTTTTTTTTTTTTTGGAGACAGAGTCTCTCTCTGTTGCCCAGGCTGGAGTGCAGTGGTGCAATCTCGCCTCACTGCAACCTCGGCCTCCAGGGTTCAAGCAATTCTCATGCTTCAGCCTCCCAAGTAGCTGCAATTACAGGCCTGCACCACCATGCCCAACTAATTTTTGTATTTTTGGTAGAAATGGAGTTTCACCATGTTGGCCAGGTTGGTCTCGAACTCCTGGTCTCAAGTGATCAGCCTGCCTTGGCCTCCCAAAATGCTGGAATTACAGGTGTGAGCCACCACATCCTGCCAAGGCTGGGAATTTAAAGAAGTCTCAAGATCATTAAGGCAGAGACACCCAAGCTATCCAGCTTCTGGCTAGATTTTATTTCCACACAAAAGGATTGGATAAGGAGGAGACTTTCTCAGGAGCGGAGGGGGCAACTGCCTCCTACCCTTTTAGGAACAGGAGAAATCAGTTTCCTTGTTCTTGCCTTCTCCTGTAGGACAATTGACCTGGCTCTCATCACGTTACCTCAGGAGTAAGACTGAAGCTAGGGGTACCAGCGCACTTATTACATTTACTATGAGGTGTTTGATATGAAATCTATCTCTGATCCAGAATTCTGCATGCATATATTTAGGATACATTTTATAAAGATAAATATTAACAACTTGACAATAAGATACAGGCAGAGTTTCTCAAAGTGCATTTGCAGACCTCTTGCATGAAAACCATCAGAGGGAGTTGGGGTGGGGGTGAGGATAGGAGGGGTAGCTTCATCTGTTTTTGCTTTTTTGTGTGTGTTTTTTGAGCTCCCTCTGCCTCCCAGCCTGGGAGTACAGTTTCACAATAACGACCCACTGTAGCCTAGACCTCTGTGGCTCAAGCAATCCTCCTGCCTCAGCCCACTGAGTAACCGGAGCTATAGGCACGCACCACCGTGCCTGGCTAATTTTTGTATTTTTTGTGGAGATGAGGGTGAGGAGGTGGGTGGGGGGGGTGGGTCTCACTATGTTACCCAGGCTGGTCTCAAACTTGGGGCCTCAAGCAATTCTCCTGCCTTGGCCTACCAAAGTGCTCAGATTATGGACATAAGTCACAGCCCCAGTCAGGGGTCATGATTTCTTTTTTTTTTTTTTTTTTTTTTTGAGATGGAGTCTTCCTCTGTCACCCAGGCTGGAGTGCAGTGGCGCGATCTTGACTTACTGCAACCTCCGACCCCCAGCTCCCCCCACCTCCCGCCTCCCCTGGTTTCAAGCCATTCTCATGCCTCAGCCTCACGAGTTGCTGGGATTACAGGCATGTGCCACCACACCCGGCTATTTTTTTTGTATTTTTTGTAGAAAAGAAGTTTCGCCCTGTTGGCCAGGCTGGTCTTGAACTCCTGACCTCAGGTGGTACACCTGCCTCGGCCTCCCAAAGTGCTGGGATTACAGGCATGAGCCACCACACTTGGCCAAGGGGTCATGATTTTTGACTGGGAAAATTATTAAGCCTAAATGAATGCATTAGAATCTCTTGGTGCGGAACCCACTGATATGCATTTTAACCCATAGGCCCAGGTCATCCTATGCCCACCCTTTTTCCTGTGGTATCCTTTTTCTGAAAAGTCCCTGTTCTCCTGGGTTAGTATAAATATTCACTAAAAGGTATTGTGGTCAGTTTGAATGTGCTTTGTAATTTTTAACAATGATAAACTTCTGTTTAACTCTGGGTTAAACAGAAAACATTTTCATTTCAATCCTTGTTATTGAACAACTTTCCCAAATGCATTAACTCTTTTCTTAGAAGGTAGAAAATATTATTTAGCTTGTTCTCATGAATCTAGGGTCAGCCAGTGTTTGAGGATGAGCATTCAAAACTCCAGTTCTTTCACCGGAGCATGGGGACAGAGGCACTGTGAGGCTCGTTGGCATACTGGCATGGGGCCACAGTTATGTTTTATTATGTTTTCTTTTTTTTTGAGATGGAGTCTCACTCTGTGGCCCAGGCTGGAGTGTAGTGGCACAATCTCAGCTCACTGCAACCTCCGCCACTCGGGTTCAATAGATTCTCTTGCCTCGGCCTCCCGAGTAGCTGGGATTAAAGGCATGCACCACCACGCCTGGCTAATTTTTGTATTTTTAGTAGAGACGGGGTTTCACTATGTTATCCAGGCTGGTCTCGAATTCCTGGCCTCAGGTGATCCACCCGCCTTGGCCCCTCAAAGTGCTAGGATTACAGGTGTGAGCCACCACACCTGACCTACCTTTTCTAATCAGAACAGCTTGCTTTCTATAACTTTTCCCCCAAAAGAAATTTGAATTACAGTATAATAATAGCAATTTGATCTGCTTCGTATTTATGTTATATAATACTTTCACACTATGATAATCCGTAAAATTTACTATATGCCCAGTATATTTTTCCAGTAAACAGACTGAGTGGAGTTTATCAAAACTCTCACTTAGCAGAATTTGACCTGTACATCTTTAAAACTATAGTTTTTATGAGCAATATTTGAAAGTTCTGAGCAATATTTTTTAAAAGTCATATTTATTTATTTGTTTATTTTTTATTTTTTTTGAGACAGAGTCTCACTCTGTCACCCAAGCTGGAGTGCAGTGCGTGATCTTGGCTCACTGCAACCTCTGCCTCCCCGGTTCAAGCAATTCTCCTGCCTCAGCCTCCCAAGTAGCTGGGATTACAGGCATGCACCACCACATCTGACTGATTTTTGTATTTTTTGGTAGAGACAAGATTTCACCATGTTGGCCAGGCTGGTCTTAAACTCTCGACCTCGAGTGATCCGCCTGCCTCGGCCTCCCAAATTGCTGGGATTACAGGCATGAGGAAAGTCATGTTAAAGTGTAAGGAAATACAGACAAATATTAATGTCTTTTACATTGTTTTAGAACAAAATTAAGCTTCTAATGTGTGCCATTTTTACCATTTCTTGTTTGTTGTGGTTTTTGGAGAACAATATCTTTCCCCATAAATTCTTAAATAATGTTCAAGAAAAGTACTGTGTGATGGATGAATCTACTTTTCTTTAGTAAACTATTCCATGAGTACTTCCTTTGTAAACCAGTACATACTATTTACTTTTCACCAGAAATTACACACCCTAGAGTAATTTAAACTAACACATGCTTGTGCTTCTATTAAGGTTTTTATTTCTAATCTCTTCCCAATTTATAGAGGAATAAAATTATTGATGCTATCTTATGTGAGGACCAGTTGATTCTAATTCCCTTAAGAGTGCGAGCATGTGCCAGACAGAGTTGCTGAAAAGAGAATGTGATATTATGAAATATACATTTATTTGGTCTTCAACCCTGTTTCCTGTCCTGCAACTCCTGAAATCCTGGGAATCTCCAAAGTGATGTCTTTTTTTTGTTTTTTTTTTCTGAGATGGAGTCTTGCTTTGTTGCCAAGGCTGGAGTGCAGTGGCGCGATCTCGGCTCACTGCAACCTCCACTTCCCAGGGTCAAGTGATTCTCCTGTCTTAGCCTCCCAAATTGTATAGGATTACAGGCACATGCCACCACACCTGGCTGATTTTTGTATTTTTAGTAGAGACGGGGTTTCGCCATGTTGGCCAGGCTGATCTCAAACTCCTGACCTCAAGTGATCTGCCCGCCTTGGCCTCCCAAATTGCTGGGATTACAGGTGCCCAGCCAGATGGGTTTTATTTGATCCTATATATCGTGACTTACTTTCCAATCTGGTTCTGGCATACCATTATGACACAAGGAAAAAAATCAAAATATTTAACCTCACTATATATTTCCTTGCCATACCTTGAAATTGCCCTGCAGAGTCTCTTGTGGGAAGAATCCACATTCTATAGAGAATCCCCTTTCCCCTTTGTTTTTCTTCCTTCTTTTCCAGGTCCAGGAGATAATCAACTAAGAGCCAGGCACCCTTTTAGGTCTGATAAGAAACATTTTACAACCTGCTCTCTCTGAAGTCGGCTATCTGAGAGCTTCCTCTGCACAGTAAAACTTGGTCTCTGCAATCCTTTATCTTAACCTGAACATTTCCTTTCTCTTGATCCCAGGTCTTCAGATGAACTCAACCAGTTGTCAACCAGAAAATGTTTAAATCTACCTATACCCTGGAAGCCCCACACTTTGAGTTGTCCCACTTTTCTGAACCAAACCAATGCATTTTTTAAATGTATTTGATTGGTTTCATGCCTCCCTAAAATATATAAAACCAGGCTGTGCCCTGACCACCTCGGGCTCATGTTCTCAGGGCCTCCTGAGGGCTGTGTCACTGGCCATGGTCACTCTTATTTGGCTTAGAATAAATCTCTTCAAACGTTTTACAGAGTTTGACTCTTTTCATCAACACCGTATGTCGCTTCTCTATTCCTAATCCCAAATTATATGAAGAAATGCCTCTAAATAAAAGCAAGCCATTTCCTATGCATACATGCTCGGACAGTGCAGCTTTGCAATGGCAACTGGAGTCCTTGAGATAGCTCCCAGCTCACACCCACAGAGCATCTCCTGCAGAGCTGATCTAGGGCAAAGGGAAACAGATTGCCTCTCTCAGTCTTCCAGATTCCAACAATGATCGCTGGTCCTTCAGAGTTATGTTTCGTGGGAGTGACACACTCTGAGCAACGATCCTTGTTATTACAGATTGTCTCCTTTGGGTGAAAAGAAATGGTCAACATTTGGCTGGAAGAAACATGACGAGGCTTTTCTTTGTGGCCACACAGTCCTCTGTCTTGAATGAGCAGCTAAAAGAACGGGTAAAGGATATGTAAATGATTTGTTTGAATTAACCAAATAAACAGAAGTGATTATTGATTAAGGTAAACTGGATAAGAAAGCTAACACCACATTTATGGAATAGACAACTATTTACACAGTCTGACTTTAGAAGTATTGAAAGATTCTCTAACTTCAAAATACTTTATGCTGGCATGGCGCAGTGGCTCACTCCTGTAATCCCAGCGCTTTGGGAGGCCGCAGCGGGCAGATAACCTAAGGTCAGGAGTTCAAGACCAGTCTGGTCAACATGGTGAAACCCCATCTCTATTAAAAATACAAAAATTAGTCGGGCGTGGTGGCGCTCGCCTGTAATCCCAGCTGCTCTGGAGGCTGAGACAGGAGAATCGTTTGAACCCAGGAGGCAGAGACTGCAGTGAGCCGAGATTGTGTCATTGCACTCCAGCCTGGGCGACAGAGTAAGACTCCGTCTCAAAAACAAAAACAAAAAACAACTTTATCCTGGTGGGCATGGTGGCTCACACCTATAATCCCAGCACTTTGGGATGCTGAGGCAGGTGCATGACTTGAGGTCAGGAGTTCGAGACCAGACTGACCAACATGGTGAAATCCCATCTCTACTAAAAATACAAAAATTAGCCAGGTGTTGTGGTGCATGCCCATAATCCCAGCTACTTGGGATGCTGAGGCAGGAGAATCACTTGAACATGGGAGGCAGTGGTTGCAGTGAGCCAAGATTGTGCCACTACACTCCAGCCTGCGCAACAAAAAAAACTTTATCCCAAGTTGTCATCACAGTGTCTGAAACCCATACCATCAGACAAATCACTACTTTGAATGAAGGCAGTATATATCTCTAAGTGTGTACTCCACAGAGCATTAATCTATGTCATACTAAGAAAAGAACCATACACACAGACAGATGTTCATTAATGTCCATGAATGTAAAGAAATCCTAGATTTAAAGAAATAGTTGCATTTACCATAAAACTTACTGGCGTTTGGAAAAGCTAAGAATTACAAATCTCCAAAAAATGTGACATAATAGGCAGTACGTTTCAAACCTGATTGGCAATGGGACACTGTTTTATAATACGTCTTATGAGATTGGTTTTACTCAGATTAAAAAAGGCGTCTTTCCCAGGTGACAACTGAGAGCATGTATCATAGTCTGACGGGGCTACTATAACAAAAGCGGAATAAATGGAGTGGCTTATAAACAAAAACATTTATTGCTCACAATTCTGGAGACCTGAAAGTCCAAGATTAAAGGCACCAGCAGATTTGGTGTCTGGTGAGAGCTCATTCTCTGGTTAATAGATGGCACTTTCTCACTGTCACCTGTCATAGTGGAAGGAGCTAGCTAGCTCTTTGGGGTTTCTTTTATAAAGGCATTAATCCCATATGAGAGGGCTCTATTCTCATGACCTAGTCACATTCCAACATCTCCACCTTCTAATACGATTGCACTGGGGACTAGGTTTCAATGTATAAATTTGAGGATGGGGTGACACAATTATTCAGACCATGGCAGTATGCAAATATCCTAACTAGATGGGCAACTCCTGAATACATTATCCTGCATAAATAATTGAGCACGAATTTTTTTTTTTTTGGTAGATTTGCGAATCTCATTATATTGTCCAGGGTAGTTTCAAACTACTGGCCTCAAGTGGTTCTCCTTCCTCAGCCTCCCAAAGCGCTGGGATTACAGGTGTAAGGCTTTTTTTTTTTTTTTTCATCAAAAAAACTTGAAACTTGCAGCAACAGGGGATTTTCATGTTGGTGTGATTAATAGAGAATGGTGATACCTAGTGAGCGCTAGGGCGTCGACGAGGAAAATTGCTGAGCAGCTGAACTCATGTACAGCACTACCCAGTAAAAATTACAAGAAACCCCAGAGTGAGGAGAGCATGCAATGGAGAACAGAGAGCATGTGTGAGAATCATCAAAAAGACAGAAATGGAAATGCATTGGGAAAATGGTGGGAGACATTAAAGGTTTTTTGTTTGTTTGTTTGTTTGTTTGTTTTTGAGATGGAATCTCGCTCTGTTGCCAGGCTGGAGTGCAGCAGCGCGATCTCAACTCACTGCAACTTTCGCATCCCGGATTTGAGCGATTCCCCTCCCTCAGCATCCCCAGTAGCTGGGAGTACAGGTGTGTGCCACCATGCCTGGCTAATTTTTTGTATTTTACTAGAGACAGGGTTTCACCATGTTGGCCAGGATGGTCTCAAACTCCTGACCTCGTGATCTGCCCACCTCGGCCTCCCAAAGTGCTGGGATTACAGGCATGAGCCATTGTGCCTGGCTGGCTTTTTTTTTTTTTTTTTTTTAAATAGAGACAAGGTCTTCCTCCATTGCCCAGGCTGGAGTGCAGTGGGCTTATCATAGCTCATTGTAGTCTCAAACTCCCAGACTCAAGCAATCCTCCCACCTCGGCCTCCTGAGTAGCTGGGACTACAGGCCTGCACCAACATGCCCGGCTAATTTTTTAAACAATTTTTTTTTTTGAGACAGGGTCTTACAATGTTGCCCAGGCTGGCCTCGAACTCCTAGCTCAAGCAATCCTCCTGCCTCAGCCTCCCAAAGAAGTGCTGGGATTACAGACATGAGCCACCACGCCCAGTCAAAAGACATTTTTTTGTGGATGCAAATCTTTTGCCTAGAACTACCCTTACCAGAAAAGAAAAACCCACCATTTTTCATTTCCAGAGGCAGCCAGCTATAACAGGCTGCTTCTAAGGAAGTCACCCAAATGTGATTCTTCCTGCAGCACACTGTAAATTGATGTAATTACAGTGTGCAAAATAGTGGAGACCTTCAGAAATATGAAGTTACAGCCTAACAATACTCTGTGACTCTCCAGTGCTCTGAAGTTTAACAACCACATTTTAATTCCCCGGCTTCTCTATGGAGAATGGGTTAATTTCCTTATTTTAAAACCATTACTCAAAAGCACACAATTTTTAATTCTGTATTTGGAATTTATTCTTATGACGAGAGTTTCAGATTTGCCTCCAAGGAAAAGCACCTGTAATAGAACCCCCAGAAAATATTAATTTCTTCTGTAAAGTGAAGTGTTAGTCAAGACCCCGAATTTACATGTCAATACCATTCTAATTTTAAAATTAAGTTTCTCAGTTTAAAGAGATTAGGGATTCACTTGATCCTAAGAGAACTTTCCAACATCACCTCTCAGTATAACTGAATAAATTCAAAAGAAATTGGTGATAGCACTTTTATTTTGGGAGATGAGCAGATCATGTCAGTATCATAATTCAACGAAGACGCGATACACACGTAGACTGTTATTTTGAACTGCATCCTTTTCCAAATGAAGGGAAAATGTGTCTTGCTGTAGCAAGAGGGTTTTTTTTCTTCTTCCCACCTAAAGTCATGTTTTCCACCTTAATACTCACATCCAATTAAATATTTTCATGTGCGGTTTCTATCACCTGTCAAAAGGGATGTGCTAACATATTTGTACCTTATCGTCTGTTAATTAGTGTGACAGCCTGAGATTTTTTTTTTTTTAAATTTACGGCAGCCCTTGGTGTCTAGGCTTAGGTTAAAAGTGCAGGCTGACATAACTGCTCTCCTTTTACACTTACTTGGTGTTCTCTGGATGCTGACAGAAATATTTTTTATGCTGATAAGCCAGGCTGTCCTGTTATCTAAAAGAGGAAAGAAGGCAAGCAAAAAAGTTAGGGAAATAAACATTTCTATGATTGTACCCATGCCAGAAGGAAAGCAATAATCCCATCTCTGAGGGGTACAAATGATACCTTATTCCTACAAGATTTCTTGTAAAATATTGAATTTGCCTGATGTCCAAACAAAATTAGGTTGTCTTCTATTACTATAATAAATAATGTGAGTAATAATAGCTTGTCCTTTTAAAGAAGTCCCTGGGTAATTTCAAATCCTGTCTTTTCCAACTTTTTCTCTCCTTGCCTTTCTGTCTATCCCCCTACCAATCAGGAAGTCATCTTTAAATAAGGCTGGTTAAGGATTTTGAATGTGAACAGAACCACAGGAATCACTCGGTACAGGTGCAACTACAAGGTCAGGTGTGAGCCATTAAGAACCACATTACGTGTTCATGCAATTCATTAGCAAAGCACAACTCTCAAGCCAGGCAAAGGAAACTTATCCAATCTGCTAATCAGGTACAGAAATTCTACGGCAACACTCAGCAGCTCATGGTAGCATTTCAACAGAACACAACATAAACTACTGTCTCAGAGCAGGCATGTAGTAGCCACCGGCATCTGCATTCTGAGACCTTTGCCAGTGTTATTACTGGAACACAAAACTAGAGGTAGAGAGAAATGTGCCAAAATTAGCTGCAAAATAAGACACAACCAATATTCCTTTTCAAACCATTGATATCAAAATACTCAAAAGAATAAAGCAAGTTATTTAACATCATTGTCTTTAGTTACTGACTTACTATTTGGAGAGAAAGACAAAGCCAGGACTGCCTTCCATTTTCTTCTCCTCTTCATTTGCACTCCACACTCTGACAGTCACATGCCTTCTTATCCCAAATCATCATTTGCTCTTGGACTCTAGTTCTCAGATTTCTTTCTGTTGAATGACCTGAGTCAAGATGTTTCACTGGGAGAGTCCGAGCAGTATTGAGATGAAGGATCTATTATCCGCAGTATTCCTCGGACACCATGGGGTTAACTGAGGTTCTGAAGGTTCAGTGGGACTTGCGGTGGATCCCATAGATCCTGAAGTCTTGGTGCTTAGGCTCTTGGTCTGCCCCTGTTCTAACTTCAACAGGGAAGCCAGTGTGGCCAGAACTGCCCCTATCAAGGTCTTACCCTCTTTGAAGAATTTTCCCAGCCCACGCTGTGCCTACAAAAACAGAGTCATTCTGTTTCTACAATATAGAGTTTCACCAGTAAACCCTTGGGATCTCTAACTTAAAGAGCAGAGGAGTGAGCCAGGAACTCTTCTCAATCATTCAAAATCTGCCAAACGTAGGCAGGTGCCGTGGCTGGCACCTGTAATCCCAGCACTGGGAGGCAAAGGCGGGAGGATCGCTTGAGCTCAGGAGCTCAAGACCAGCCTGGGCAATGTAGCGAGATCCCCACCTTTACCAAAAAAAAAAAAAATCTGACAAACACAGAACAGTCTTTCAATAGGTAATTACTCTAGAAATTAGCCCTTTGGGAATTTTTATCCCTAAAAAGCTTAGAAAAAGTCAAGTGTATTGACTTGTTATAGCGGCTAACTGACATACTATGTGTTGAATACTGTTGTTGATTCTAGCGCTTGAAGGAACTTTTATAAGTGACTTATGTCTTATGTTCCATGTCTGCAAAGTACCGTCATTAACTTTAAAGACAACTTAAATTTGAGCAAAACTGTATTAAGAAAAATGGCATTTGCTGTCACTTTGCAGGTCTGATTTTCAAGGGTAACACTTTCCCACTATTCTGTGTCCTGCCTGCAGGAGGTGGTGGTGGTGAAAGGCCTGCAGTACTGGATGTCTCTAAAAATAACAGAAGAATAATTAACATTGGCTGAGCACAGTGGCTCCTGCCTGTAATCCCAGCACTTTGGGAGGCCGAGGCAGATGAATCACCTGAGGTCAGGAGTTCAAGATCAGCCTGGCCAACATGTTGAAACCCCATTTCTACTAAAAATACAAATATTAGCCGGGCATGGTGGCACACACCTGTAATCCCAGCCTCTCAGGAGGCGGAGGCAGGAGAATCGCTTGAACTCAGGAGGCGGAGGTTGCAGTGAGTCGAGATCATGTCACTGCACTCCAGCCTGGATGACAGTGAGACTCTGTCTCAAAAAAAAAAAGAATAATTAACATAAAATTCAGGGGGGTGGCTGCCTGCAATGGGGAGGTGAGAAATGTGGCAGTGGGGAGATATGCAAAGAACATCAATGGCATTAACGATGCTGGGTTGGGTTCACAGCTGTTTACCTTATTACTAGGCCTTATAAATTACATAATATATATTGCATTATTCATCTGTATCAATTAAAAAAAAAACCTGTGTGCTTGCCCTCAAATAAGAGCTGCCACATTTATGCTCCTTAGATTAAAAAAATAGTGTTTTTTTCTTTTTATTTTTTTGAGACCGGGTCTTGCTTTGTCACCCAGGCTGGAGCGCAGTGGGGCGATAATAGCTCACTATAGCCTCAAACTCCTGGGATCCAGCCATTTTCCCACCTCAGCCTTCCAAGTAGCTGGGACTACAGCATGCAACACCACACCTGGCTAATTATTTTGTTTTGTTGTTGTTGTTTTTGTTGTTGAGATGGAGGCTCGCTCTGTCACCCAGGCTGAAATGCAGTGGTGTGATTTCGGCTCACTGCAACCTCCACCTCCCAGGTTCAAGCGATTCTCCTGTCTCTGCCTCCCAAGTAGCTGGGATTCCAGGCAAGTGCCACCACGCCTGGCTAATTTTTGTATTTTTAGTAGAGACGTAGTTTTGCCATGTTGGTGAGGCTGGTCTTGAACTCCTAACCTCAGGTGATCTGCCTGCCTTGGCCTCCCAGAGTGCTGAGATGACAGGCATGAGCCACTGCACCTAGCCCTGCTAATTATTTTATTTTTTGTAGAGATGAGGTTTTGCTATGTTGCCCAGGCTAGTTTCAAACTCATGGGCTCAAGCCATCCTCCCGTCTCAGCCCCGCAAAGTGCCGGGATCACAGGTGTGAGTCACCAAACCCAGCCAAAGATAGTTCTTTATGAAAATGACCCAATCATCCTCACATCCTATTACCATCTAAATATCAGAATAATGAAATACTCTATTTTTAAACAGTTTAAGGAATCTTAAGAAAAAGAATGCAAAGCCTAATATGAAAGTTTTCCTATTACATCTGTTCCTATTAACACGTATTCTAACCTTAATCTCACACATATGCTGTGATTATGAAGTGCTTTCTGACTCACCCTGCTTCTCTCTGAGACTTCAGGCTCTTTGCATTAAAGGCCCTTTTGAGTTTGCTTATTTCTCCGCAGATGGTGATTTTTTAAAATCCCAGTGAATGTCCTTTGCCTCCTTCCAAGAGGAAAGGGTTGGACACTAGATTGTTTTTAAGATCTTCTTCTGGCTCTAAACCTCTCTCATTTTGTGATAATCAGGAAGAGTGTTAGCTTTTCTTTCCAGCTTCCTTGTTATGAAAGCATCTGGTTCCTTCTCTGCACAATTGGAGAGAAAAAAGAATGCTTGAAATTAGGAATACCTTTGCTTTCTGACTCCTCACTTCTTTACTCTCTGATATGAGTCAAGTTTCCTTACTCACCAGAACACCTCCCACTGTGTCCCTCCACCTACACACTGGCCTCCCCTCCACACACCCATGCATGCACACATGACTGCGTGCACGCACACACACACACGCACACACATACACCAGTATATAAGGAGCCTGGCTTCACAGGGTCTCCAGGTGAGTTTCCACTTTGTTTCTGCTGATCTGTACCTAACAATCCCTTGTCTAGATAACAGCTAACATCTGTTGATCCCTTTGCTATGCACTGTGCTAAACACTTCACTTAGATTACTGGGTTGTTTTGTTTTCTTTTAAGAGACAGGGTCTCATTCTGTTTCCCAGGTTGGAGTGCCATGGCGTGATCATAGCTCACTCCAGCCTCAAACTCCTGGGCTCAAGCAATCCTCTTGCCTTAGCCTCCCGAGTAGCTGGAACAATAGGAGCCTGCCACCATGTCCAGCTAATTTTTTTTTTTTTTTAAGAGATGAGGTTTCACTATGTTGCCCAGGCTGGTCTCAAACTCCTGATCTGGAGCGATCCTCCTGCCTGAGCCTCCCAAATAACTGGGATTGGATTACTGAGCAGTTCTTAGAGTTTGAGTTTTAGAGTCAGCTCGTCCTAGACTTACTGTCTTAGTCTGTTCTCATGCTACTGTAAAGCACTGCCCAAGACTGGGTAATTTATACAGGAAAGAGGTTTAATTGACTCAGTTCTGTGGGTCTGTGGAGGCCTCAGGAAACTTAACAATCATGGTGAAGGAGAAGCAAACACGTCCTTCTTCACATGGTGGCAGGAAGGAGAATTGCTGAGCAAAAGGGAGAAAAGCCCCTTATAAAACCATCAGGTATTGTGAGAATTCACTCACTATCACGAGAACGGCAGCATGGGGGTAACTGCCCCCGTGACTCAATTACCTCCCACCAGGTCCCTCCGATGACACATGGGGATTACGGGAACTACAATTCAGGATGAGATTTGGATGGGGACACATCCAAACCATGTCAATTTGAATCTTGACTTAGCCGTTTATTAGCTATGAGACCTTGAGCAAAAAGACTTCACATATCTGAGTGTCAGTAAAATGGGGATTATGTGCCTGTAAACTTTTAAAATGTTTACAAAGCACTACTAGAATAGAGACTGGCAAACAGACTGTTAATAAATGATAGTTATTTTTGTCACTGTTATTATTGTTGTTGACACTATATTGACTGAGATTCCTAAATCATTGCACTTAGACTCTCCATTCAGGGCACTGATAACTTGGTTTTCCTGCCCGCAGTCATGGTGTTGGATCCTTCCTCCTGACCTTTGGATCCTGGGCTTCTGGCAGATGCTCCGTGCATGGTGATTGCTGAGGCTACCACACCCTGAGTCCCACCTACCCTTCTGTCTAAAAGAACTATTTTTTTCTTTCTAAGATGGAGTCTCCTCTGTCACCCAGGCTTGAGTGCAGTGGCATGATCTTGGCTCACCACAACCTCCACCTCCCGGGTTCAAGCGATTCTCCTGCTTCAGCCTCCCAAGTAGCTGGGACTGCAGGTGCGGCACCATCACGCCTGGCTAATTTTTGTATTTTTAGTAGAGACAAGGTTTCACTATGTTGGCCAGGCTGGTGTCGAACTCCTGACCACAGGTGATCTGCCCATCTTGGCCTCCCAAAGTGCTGGGATTACAGGTGTGAGCCACCATCCCCAGCTTTTTTTTTTTGTTTTTAATGGAGCCACGCTCTGTTGCCCAGGCTAGAGTTCAGTGGTGCGATCTCAGCTCACTGCAACATCTGTCTCCTGGGTTCAAGGAATTCTTCTGCCTCAGCCTCCCGAGTACCTGGCATTACAGCTGCGTGCCACCACACCTGGCCAATTTTTGTATTTTTAGTAGAGATGGGATTTTGCCATGTTGGCCAGGCTGGTCTCGAACTCCTGACCTCAGTTAAAAGCAGATTATTTAGTCAATTCTGTTTGCTATTTCTGACTTCTCTGTACTTAAATCCTAATTACCCTCTCTTGTCTGGCAAACTCCACAGTGTTTTTCTAAAGACCCCAAATAAGACACTTTCATATTGTGTGTCATTTAATTCCCACACCAGTCCTACGAAGGTACAGGGTTTCTGCCATCCTCAACACTTAAACTCTGGCTTCCAGGCAGCTTCTTCAATTCTCATCGTCTCCCAGTGGGGTGGGATATGCACCTAATCTTCTTAGTCACAGGGCCATGCCTAGCTGCAAGAGAGGCTGGGCAATGTCATCTTTAACTGGGAGGCCATGAACCTCACTAAATTAGTTGTGTGACAGAAAAGGGAAAAGGATCTTTGAGACAACCTGGAGTTGGCCAGGGCAATGTAATAATATCCCCACTTTATATGAAGACACCATAGCTCGGAGATATTAAGAGTTCTCATAGCAAGAAAAGAGAGGAGCCAGAAATTGAAGTCAGGTCTATCTGACTGCAGAGCTACTTTCCAATGGACTGGTCTACACCGCCTGGTCCCCCGTGTTCACAGAGAATCCACATGATGCAGCACACCCTGGCAGGAGATTCATTCCAAAGACAAGACTCTGATAGTTCCCCTTTATTCTAGCTAGGAGATTGAATCAAACTCTTTGGTTATTTTAGCTGCAACATAATTTTTATATATTGTATCTATGATTTTTATTTTTATATATAATTTTATATATCCTAGATGTTTTTATATATCCTAGATATTTTTATATATCCTAGATATTTTTATATATCCTGGTAATATTTACTAAGTGACACAATTTTGCAAACTACACATGCAGAGGAGTTCTTTAGTAACTAAAGCTGCCAAGGCCTGTGTTCCTTACATAGTGCAATCAAAAACAGGACTTTTTTTTATTTTTTAAGAGACAGGGTCTCTGCTCTGTTGCTCAGGCTGGGGTGCAGTGGCACAATCACGGGTCACTGCAGCCTTGACCTTTCAGGTTCAAGAGATTCTCCCACCTAAGCCTCCCGAGTAGCTGGGATCACAGGTGCGTGCCACCATGCCTGCCTAATGTCTAGTTTTTCCATTTTGTAGAGACAGGCCCTTCCTATGTTGCCCAGGCTGCTCTTGAACTCCTGGACTCAAGTGATCCTCCTGCCTTAGCCTCCCAAAGCACTGGAATTACAGACATGAGCAACTGCACCCGGCCTAAAAACAGTATTAAACAAAGTTTCTGATTAGAAGTTTTAACTAACTCCATGGCAGAAAAATTTCTTTAGAAGACCTTCAAATGAAAACAAATTATTCATATTACTTAAAGATAAAAAGTCAAGGAATTTGATTTATAAATTCAAGTTATCCTTGCAATGTTTGGTTCCAGACCACATTGTTTTTCAACAATGGGAACACCACCATTTGGCGTTCTTCACAGACACACATGCTCGAGCTTCCAGTTAATAAATAGCTTCCCGGCCATCATTTTGAGAGTTTCATTCCTTCTGTTTAATTAATCCAGCTCTCAACATTGTATTTATTAGAGACCAATAATCACATTATTGTGTGCTAATAGATGCCTCTAGTATTTAAATAATTCTCCCAAGGATTTGGAAGTCATCCTGGGACCTATTTAATATTAGTTATTAATGGCTTGTTAAAGAAAGGTGGCTTTCAATTTGCATACAGGTTCTTCAAATTCTCTTACTAGGACAAATACCATATTAATTAGGGTAGGCTATCTGCTGTAACAAATAATCCCCAAATCTCAGTGACTTACCACAATAAAACTACATTTTTCTTTCTTTCTCTCTCTCTCTCTCTTTCTTTTTTTTTTTTTTTTTTGAGACAGAGTCTTTCTCTGTTGCCCAGACTGGAGTGCAGTGGTGAGGTCTTGGCTCACTGCAGCCTCTGCCTCCTGGGTTCAAGCGATTCTCTTGCCTCAGCCTCCTGAGAAGCTGGGATTACAGGTGTGCACCGCCATGCCTGGCCTACATCTTTTATTTATATCATTTATATTTACATCAGATGTTAGGGTTGGTGGGAGGGTTCTGCTCCACACAGCTCTTCAAATATAGCCCCCTGCCCTCCTGCAGCTGCATTCTACAGGTCCTAGAGAATTCGCTTTAGCCAGCCCACAGATGAACAAAGAGAGGAAGGATGGTTTTGATGGGCTGGTTCTGGAAGGAATATGTCTACTTCTCCCACATCCCATTGGCTGGAATGTGGTGGCAGGAACGCACCTAACTGCCAGGGAGACTGGGAAATGTAGTATAGCTATGTGTCCAGGAGTAGTGGGAAACGGGTTCAGTGAGCACAGTCACCAAATACCATTAAGTCTCCGTCGCAAATACCAAAAGAAATTGCTAAGCTAAAAAATACGTAGGCTGGGCACAATTACAATTACCAAAAGAAATTGCTAAGCTAAACAATACTTAGGTGGGGATTACGCCTGTAATCCCAGCACTTTTGGAGGCCAAGGTGAGTGGATCACTTGAGGTCAGGAGTTCAAGACCAGCCTGGCCAACATAGTGAAACCCTGTCTCTACGAAAAATACAAAAATTAGCTGGGCGTGGTGGCACGTACCTGTAATCCCAGCTATACAGGAGGCTGAGGCAGGAGAATTGCTTGAACCTGGGAGGCAGAGGCTGCATGAGCTGAGATTGAGCCTTGTACTTCAGCCTGAGTGACAGAGTGACTCTCTGTCTACATATATATAATATATATATTATATATATATAAAATACATATGTCTATATATAATATATATAATATGTATATGTCTATATATAATATATATAATATGTATATGTCTATACATATCTATATTATATATAGATATATATATCAACAAAGTGATTTGATTAACAAGTTTTTTTAAGTAATGGTGATATAATTTAAAATTCTGACCCTTTCTTTAACACTAGCAAATATTAGTGAGAGTAATAGGTATTCTAATTCGAGTTATTGCTGGTTATCTACACAGCCATCTAAAGTCAAATATTTTTTATTGTGGCAAACTATACACAACATAAAATTTACTATTTTAACCTTTTATTATTTTTGTTTTTAACCATTTTGAAGTATGGTTCAATATGGGTACATTCACATTGTTGTACAAGTACCCACACTGCTGCTCTTCCGAAATTTTTTATCATCCCAAACAGATAACAGCTCTTCATTTTCTTCTTCCCTCAGCCCCTGGTAAGCACTTTTCTCCCTTCTGTCTCTGTAAGTGTACTACTCAAGGTATCTCATAGAAGTGAAATAATACAATGTCTGCTCTGTGTCTGGCTTATATCACATAGCAAAATGTCTTCCAGGTTCATCTAAGCTCCAGCATTATCAGAATTTTATTCTTTCTTTCTTTCTTTTTTTTTTTAAAGACGAATTTTCTCTCTTGTTGCCCAGGCTGGAGTGCAATGGTGTGATTTCGGCTCATTGCAATCTCTGCCTCCTGGGTTCCAGTGATTCTCCTGCCTCAGCCTCCCAGGTAGCTGGGATTACAGGGGCCCGCCATCACACCTGGCTAATTTTTTGTATTTTCGGTAGAGATGGGATTTCACCACGTTGGCCAGACTGGTCTTGAACTCCTGACCTCAGGTGATCCACCCACCTCAGCCTCCCAAAGTGCTAGGATTACGCGCATGAGCCACCGCGCCTGGCCCAGAATTTTATTCTTTTTTAAGGTTAAATAATATTCTATTGTGCCTATATGCCCCCTTTTCTTAATAATCTGCTCATCTGTTGGACATTTGGGTTGCTTCCACCTTTTTGGTTATTGTGAATAATGCTATAAAAGACTGTTTGAGCTCCTGCGTTTACTTCTTTGGTAGAATTCCACTAAGAAGTGGAATTGCTGGATCACATGGCAATTATGATGGATTTTTTTTGAGGAATTGCCTGCCCATTATCCACAGCAGCTATAAAGTCAAAATATTTTTTAAGACAAACTTGTAGTTGGCTTCTACAAAAGGTTGTAAAAACGTACTGATGAAGACATAGTCCTGGATGAAAGGCTCACTCAGTATCGGGGTTGTGTGTTCTCAATCTGGCTCTTTAAGATCTAGAATGAGGTTAGGCGCCGTGGCTCACGCCTATAATCACAGCACTTTGGGAGGCTGAGGCAGGCGGATCATGAGGTCAAGAGATCGAGACCATCCTGGCCCACATGGTGAAACCCCCGTCTCTACTAAAAATACAAAAATTAGCTGGGCATGGTGGTGCATGCCTGTAGTCCCAGCTACTCAGGAGGCTGAGCAGGAAAATCACTTGAACCCGGGAGGCGGAGGTTGCAGTGAGCCGATACTGCCCTCCAGCCTGGCGACAGAGAGAGACTCCATCTCAAAAAAAAAAAAAAAAAGATCTAGAATGATTTAAATTTCACTTTTCCTTTGCTTCTAAGTGAAGTAATAATATACATTGAATACTTAGTTGTATTTTCTGGGGGGTACAAAGAATAGGAATTTGATAGAAAACGATCTGTGTGTTCAAAGTTCTGTTCTAGTTCTCTTGTGACATTAGTATCTAATAGGTGTCCTATAAATGATAGGAATGGCTTATCACACCATGACTCAAAATTAAACCAAGAAAATCTCTGCAGCACTGTAAATTTCAGCTTCCAATTAACAATTAAAACCTAACAGCAACATCATTGATAGAATTGACATCATAGGTCCTGCTTTTTTTTCCTGCTGCTTATCTGATAATTATCTGGATTATTTTCTATTTTGCCCTCCCCAGATTGTTTCTGTAGACTACTTTTGTGTAAATATTTAAAACAACTAACTAGGGTGATGAAAACCTGGGTGTTTTCTAGAATTTTAACCCAAATAGCAGGGGCTTTGGATGTTTGCTTTTGATTTCGTTCTTTTTGCCAATTTAGTGTTCCCGGGTACAGGTACTGTCAAAATTCAAAGATACTATGAAAAGGAAAAGCAAGTACTGTAGAAATGAGAGTGCATTTGAACTAAACCTTTAACTGAGAGATCGATTTGGAAACTCGGTTCCTTAATAATGTGATTTTCAACTTTGCTACTTCATCACAGACATACGACAGTACATTGATATTCTTGGTTTCAAAAATTATTTCCAAGTTAAGCTTCTCTAGGAAGAAAGACTGAAAAATAAAGTTGGGCACAAGCTTGATGCCAGATTATCATGTTTAACAGCAGAACATCCTCAAGAACCCTTTTCACCCATTCTTGTCTGCCTATCCCAGGGCTAGTAGATTTTGAGTCCGGTAGTGAAGAATGTTTATTTTACTTTCTAAAAGATTCAGTAGCATTTAGTGTTTAACTAACAACAGTGCTTAGTGAAATAGGATTACAGTATGTACACAGGTGCTATATGCTAAAAAGTTTTCCATTCTTGTGCATTGGATTTACATGATTTTCTCCACTGTTCTTTGTTTGTTTGTGTTTGTTTGTTTTTGTTTTTGCTTTTTGAGATGGAGTCTCGCTGTACCTCCCAGGCTGGAGTGCAGTGGCACGATCTCGGCTCACTGCAATCTCCACCTCCCAGGTTTAATCTATTTTCCTGCCTCAGCCTCCTGAGTAGCTGAGACTACAGGTGCACGGCATGACCTTTGGCTAATTTTTGTTTTGTTTTGTTTTGTTTTTTGAGATGGAGTTTCGCTCTGTTGCCCAGCCTGGAGTGCAGTGGCGTGATCTTGGCGCAATACATCCTCTGCCTCCCGGGTTTAAGCAATTCTCTGCCTTAGCCTCCCGAGTAGCTGGGATTACAGGCACCCACCACCACACCTAGCTAGTTTTGTGTGTGTGGGTGTGTGTGTGTATGTTTTTTAGTAGAGACAGGGTTTCACCATCTTGGCCAGGCTGATCTGGAACTCCTGACCTTGTGATGCACCCGTCTCGGCCTCCCAAAATGCTGGGATTACAGGCATGAGCCACTGCACCTGGCCTGTTTTTTTTGTTTGTTTGTTTTTTTAGGGAAGATAGGTTTTCACCATGTTGGCCAGGCTGGTCTCAAACTCCTGGCCTCAAGGGATCTGCTACCCTGGCCTCCCAAATTGTTGGGATTACAGACGTGAGCCACAACACCTGGCCTCTGCCTTTCTTTGAACACACCTGTAGGCAATAGTTTGAGAAAGTTCCTGAAATAAATCTCCTGCATATTAATTTGAAATTTCTTTGTAGCTGCTTCTTTCAAAAAAGAAATAAAATCTCTTTACTAGTATCTTTTTAAGGAGTAAAGCCACAGAAATAAGAGCGTGCATTTGAAATCCATCACAAATCTTGCTCAGTGGATTTACTGTGGGCAGTGGAGAATTTAGTAACTTCCATAAAGAAAAACTAAAGTTTACTTTTCAATTTTTTTTTTTTTTGAGACAGGGTCTCTCTCTGTCACTAGGTTGAAGTGCACTGGCATGATCTCAGCTCACTGCAATCTCCACCTCCCAGGTTCAAGCAATTCTCATGCCTCAGCCTCCTGAGTGGCTGGGACTACGGGCATGCACCACCACACCCGGCTAATTTTTGTATTTTTAGTAGAGATGGGGTTTTACCATGTTGGCCAGGCTGGTCTCCAATTCCTGGCCTCAAGTGATCTGCCCACCTTGGCCTCCCAAAGTGGTGGGACTACAGGCGTGAGCCACTGCGCCTGGCCTGAAGTCATTTTTTAACAAGGACCTCATGTATCATTTAACATCTAGCAGCATAGACTACTAAAATACGTAACATTATAAATAATGGACTTTCGAGCCTCTCCTTACCACCCACTGTCGGGTACACATTTATATGGCTCCATGCTTGTAGCACACACAAAGTGGGAGCCAGCACTGAAATCACTCCAGAAGCCTCCCTGGATCCATCTCCTCATTACAGAATCTCAGTGTGAGCCCGTCATTGCTACTAATATCCAACTGTCCCAGCACTCATGCCTCTGCAGTTCTTAACCCCTACAGTTATTCTTGTCTTTCCTACTCTTGGGCCCTATTTTTATCCCTTTTCTGTTTCTAGGATTTACCCAGCCACCCTCCTTAAGAACCAATTTTTTCCTCAGTATCTTCTCCCTGACTGTCCCTTACCAACCAACCCCTTTTCTAAATGACTTCTTGTACTTTTACCCTTAAAAAACAAAAAACAGAGAACGAGACCTGTATATCCTTTTCTCCTCCTTTTTTTCTGATTTAAATGAATTAATTTATTTCTATTAATCTCCTATCAAAGCACCCCATTCTCTCCTGGTGCGGTGGCTCACGCCTGTAATCCCAGCACTTTGGGAGGTCAAGGCAGGTGGATCAGTTGAGGTCAGGAGTTCGAGACCAACCTGGCCAGCATGGCAAAACCTCATGTCTACTAAAATTACACAAAATTAGCTGAGCATGGTGGGGCGTGCCTGTAATCCCAGCTACTCAGGAGGCTGAGGCAGGAGAATCCCTTGAAACCAGGAGGTGGAGGCTGCAGTGAGGTGAGATTGCACCACTGCACTCCAGCCTGGGCAACAGAGCAAGACTCTGTCTCAAAAACAAACAAACAAACAAACCAAAAAAATTCCCCATTCTTTACTAAGAAGGCAAGTGTAGTGACTGATATCAACTAATCTGGGTCCCTAGTCCTATCCTTGAACAAGGTGCTTGCCTAAGTTTGTTTTCTTGTCTGTAATTGGAGGGAAATAGCTCCTGCCACATGCAGGTTGCTCAAAATCTTAAACAAAATAACATACACCCATTACAAAACCTGGTAGAGTTGGCCCCGATAAACATCATCTATTAATATTATTATTAAAACTCTACTTTCCTTTGAAATGACATCTGTAGCTTCTGCCCATCTGCATACCTATTCTCTTTTTTCTCAGAATTCAGGATAAAATTAATTGACTAGGCCTTGTGCTGTGGCTTATGCATGTAGTCCTAACACTTTGGGAGGCTGAGGTGGGAGGATCCTTTGAGCTTAGGAGTTTGAGACCAGGCTGGGCATCATAGCGAGACCTCCATCTCTACAAAAATTACAAATATTAGCTGAGTGTGGTGGTGCACACCTGTAGTCCCAGCTGCTCAGGAGGCTGAGGCAGGAGGATCCCTTGAGCCCAGGAGTTCAAGGCTGCAGTGAGCTATGACTGCACCACTGAAATCCATCCTGGGCAACAGAGCCATTTCAAAATAATAATAATAATAATTGATGACAGTGTAATATGGTTGGGGTTCAGAAAATGATACCCCAAAATGAAGGCCTTAGAAGCAGCTCTCTCTAACCTCATGTCCTCCTGCCTCTGGCCCCTCATTCTAGAAACTGGAATCCCTCTTCCCCAAGGTGATTCACAGAAGCCAGAACCCCTCATCCCCAAAGCCAAGCATAAAACCTAAAAGTTTGACTCTGCGTGTCCCCTGCCTTTCTGTGTCAAAACTGGCGGTAAAGAAATTCTCTGCCCTGCTTTGTTTGACTGTAGGTCATAAGACCCCCATTCCAGAAAGGATCCTGCTCTATACCCAGAAGGAAGGAACACTGCACAGAAAAGCCAAAAAGAATCTAAACAGACAGGGCTTGCTCACTTAGTCTATTGGCATTAGCTCAGACCCTTTTTATGCCATCGTAGTATCTCTTAGGTTGGTGCAGAAGTAATTGCGGTTTTTGCCATTAAAAACCGCAATTACTTTTGCACCAGCTGAATACATGGCGGTCCATACTTTATTGAACCTAAGCGAAAAAATGGACCGTTTCCCCTGCATCTTTGGGTTTTCATTCTGAAGGCTCCCGGATCACATAAAGTTACGATCTAGTATATTTGTATGCCTTTTCTACTGTGAAACTGTCTTTTGTCAGTTGATTTTCAGCAAACTTTCAGAGGACGAAGGAGAGGTTTGCCCTTGGCCCCCTACAATACCTAAAGGTATGACTCTTTACTGTGGCAGCTGCTCCAAGCATCATGTTTTGCCAACAGACTCACACATACTAAGTTTATTTCAGTCACAGCAAGTACCAGGGCCAGTTCAAGTGCTCTAGCACGGCACTCTAATTCTAAAGAGAAGGAAACGCGGCACCGGGGCAGGAAACAGTGACAAGTGGGAACACAAAAACCAAAGTTCTCCGTATGCAGCATGAGGATCCAGAACCCACTGTGACATCAAATTGCCAGAGCACCACCTCCGATTTATTCTTGGGGAAAACCAAAAGAGCTACGGAATGCTCCCTTGTTCCAGACTGTTCTATGGAGAACTGGGATCTGGGGAAAATGCAACAGTTTCTTTCCGTTTGGGGATCTAGCCCCGAATTTTTTTCATTCAGCCAAACTACCGACAGTCAGACAGCGCCTGCAGGAGGGTGTGGCCAGGCAAAAACGCGGGGAACGGCCCCGGACCAGGGTGGGGCGTGGCAAGGGTTTGAAGGGCGTGTCCTACGAAGAGGTAGGGCTTGGCAAGGACCCACGGGGCGTGTCCTAGGACTCGGTGAGGGCGTGACCTCGGGCCAGGGGCGGGGAGAGAACCAGAGGGCGAAGTGGGAGGGCACAGGGGAGACTAAAAAGGCCAGGGAAGTTGGCCTGCCGGAAGTTCCCAGGGAGAAGGCAGCGCGTTGTACCCGAGGTAAGGCTTCTTGGAGTCAGAGCAGGAGCCGGAACTGTGGGCCCAGTAGGAAGAGTGGGGCCCGACGGCGGAGGCCGCGCGGCCAGGGTTCGCTGCAGAGCTCCACGCGAGGGTCCTGCCGGAAGGAAGGATTTTCTAGCCGCTGCGCTTGGGCCCTGCCGCCTCTCCTTAAGTGCTTGAGGGACGTTGCAAAGAGCGCCAGTCCCGTGTGGCGCCAGCTCCCTGTGGCTCGACAGCAATGCCCGGGGGCGTCATCGGGTAGCTGTGCTAAGCCTCCTTTAATAAGCTTTTTTTTTTTTTTTTTTTTAGATTCAGGGTCTGGCTCTGCTTCCCAGGCTAGAGTGCATTTGGCGCGATCACAGCTCACTGCAGCCTCGACCTCCTGAGCTCAAGCGAACTTCCTGCCTCAGCCTCCTGAGCTTCCTGAGTAGCTGCGACTACAGGCACGTGCCACCATGTCCGGTTATTTTTGTATTTTTTGTAGAGAGTGTCTCGCCATGTTGCCCAGGCTGGTTTCGAACTCCTGGGCTCAATCAGTCTGCTGCCTCGGCCTCCCAAAGTGCTGGCATTACAGGTCTATATTTTTTGACAGTTTATAAAAGCCAATTACCAGCGGTCATATGTCTGAGTCCTGTGCACTCTTGCTTAATCCACTCTGCAGCCCTGTGAAGGATTCTAGTGATAACGACAAAGCTAAGGTACAGAAAAATTAGGCCACACTGCTGGAAAGTTTAGAGATGGAAACAAAGTTTAGAGGTGGAGTCTTTCTGACTCCACAGCCAGTGTGCTGTTACTCTCTTAGACTACCTCATTCTTTGTACATCCCAAGTCAACAGGAACTAAAGGTATACCCTTACATAGGCAGTAAGAGGGGTTGCTGATTTAAAGAACTTTGGACCCAGAAAGAGTAGAGCCCTATTCTAGTTCTGGTTCCAGCTCAGTGACTTTCTACAAGTTGGTTTTCTTTTGCTTTTTTTAAAGACAGAGTCTCGCCCTTGCCCAGGCTGGAGTGCAGTGGTGCGATCTCGGCTCACTGCAACCTCCGCCTCCCGGGATCAAGCGATTCTCTTGCCTCAGCCTTCTGAGTGGCTGGGACTACAGGCGCGCTCCACCACACACAGCTAATTTTTGTATTTTTAGTAGAGACGGGGTTTCACCATACTGGCCAGGCTGATCTCGAACTCCTGACCTTGTGATTCACCCACCTCGGCCTCCTAAAGTGCTGGGATTACAGGCGTAAGCCACCGCGCCCGGCCTCTTGCTTTTTAAGACTAGGTCTCATTATTTCACCAAAGCTGGAGTGCAGTGGTGCTATCACAGCTCACTGCAACCTTCACTTCCCCCGTTCAAGTGATCCTCCCAGCTCAGTCTCCCACAGGTGCACACCACCACGCCCGGCTAGTTTTTATTTTCTGTTTTTTGTTTTTTTTTTTGTATTTTTGGTAGAGACGGGGTTTTGCCATTTTGTCCAGGTTGGTGTCAAACTCCTGGGCTCAAATGATCTGGCTGCCTCGGCCTCCCAAAGTGCTAGGATTACAGGCGTGAGCCACTGCGCCTGGCCTGCCTGTTTTCTAGACACATTAAGGTGAGTGGTCTCAGGCCAGGCGCGGTGGCTCACACCTGTAATCCCGGCACTTTGGGAGGCTGAGGCAGGTGGATCACTTGAGGCCAGGAGTTCGAGACCAGCCTGGCCAACATGTGAAACCTCTTTTCTTCAAAAAATTAGCTGGGCATGGTGGTGGGCATGCCTGTAATCCCAGCTACTGGAGAGGCTGAGGCACGAGAATTGCTTGAACCTGGGAGGCAGAGGCGGCTGTGAGCTGAGATCACACCACTGCACTCCAGCCTGGGTGTCAGAGCAAGACTCTGTCTCAAAAAAAAAAAAAAAAAAGGTAAGTGGTCTCTAGGTCGCTAGTGGATGTAATAATCTATGGATTTATGAGGATAAGATCCTGATTTTACCATTTAATGATATTTTGGGCCAGTTTTTTTCCTTTTTAATTGGGCAGCCCTCAAACCAGAATAGATTGAGAGGGTCTTCCAGTTTTGGGTCATATTTGCTGCTGAAATTACAAGGTAGTCAGGAAGGGTCTGTTTATTCAATCAAAGATCAATAAATGTGTATTTTGGAGGTCAGTAGCGGAGTATCCAGCCAGAAGGTGGCTAGTGAGACAGGAGGAAAATCAGGACAGTGGCTTTTCTGGAGGGACTTAGGGAAAGATCAGTTTCACTGGGCAAATTTCCCCTTCCCTGTGAAGGACAGAAAATACCTTCAATATGGCTAAAGTGAGAAGCATTTCTGAAAAAAAATGCAATTTAATATCCTTTGAAGTGTCAGTAAATTTTGAGCCAAATAGAAGCAGAGAGTAAGAGAACACAAAAATAGATCATTTAGAATCTGGAGAAGTACATGACCGTGTACTCAGTGCCAGGACTTGGCCATAGGATCCCTGTGACTATTTTAAGTTGAGTAAGCAGCCCTGATGCAAGAATTTTAGAGATTGTCTCAGTTTTAAGCTTAAAGACAAAATGATGAACTGTATAGCATGAGAGGAGCTTGGTAAATGTCCACCTTTGCTTCCATGTGCAAAGTGTTCATACAGGACATACATACATACAGGACCCATTCATACAGGAGGAATGTTTATCCTTAAATATCTTCTTTTTAAAATATTTATTAGTTTATTTATTTTTGTAGAGATGGGGGGTCTTGTTTTGTTGCCCAGGCTGGTCTTAAACTCCTGGGCTCAAGTGATCTTCCCACCTCGGCCTCCCAAACTGTTGAGATTACAGGCGTGAGCCACGGCAGCCAGCCAACTTCAAATCTATTAAATGCCCTAGTAAGCCATATAGTAATAATATTGAGAATTTCTGATCAAGCTCGAGTCTGCTCAGTATCCCTATGAACTTGACTGAGGTAGTTGTTGAATATATTTTCATACATCAAATGTGGCTTTGTTCTGTTTTCTTTAGCTGTTGTTTCTAGTGTATTTTCAGTGGTCCAGGTTTTCCTAACAAGATTTTTTTTTTTTTTTTGTGGCAGGGTCTCACTCTATTGCCCAGACTGGAGTGCAGTGGCCCTATCTTGACTCACTGCAACCTCTGCCTCCCAGGTTTAAGTGATTCTCCTGCATCAGCCTCCCAACTAGCTGGAAATATAGGCATGCACCACCACGCCCAGCTAATTTTTTTGTATTTTTGGTAGAGACGGGGTTTCATCATGTTGATCAGGCTGCTCTTGAACTCCTGACCTCAGGTGATCCACCTGCCTCAGCCTCCCGGCATGAGCCACCACGCCCGGCCCTTAATAACACTTTTATAACAAAAGGCTTCTCATTCATAGACATCATCTCTTAAAAAAAAGAAAAAGAAAAAAGAATAAGAAAAATAAAATATCTGGTTCCATTTGGCATAAACTGGCTCTGTGGTTGTACCTATTTTGTCAAAACAATAACCACCTGAGTACAAATACCTCTGTGCCTGCTCAGCGTGAGAGCTGTGAATGTTAGCCATTTCCCTGTCTCCTTCCAGGCAGGTATGTCCACGTGACTTGTTTGGCTAACGAAACGCAAGTGGAGTGACCTGTGTCACTTCCAGGTAAAACTGTGTTAAAAGCCAGTGAAAGATTTGTCACAATCACTTTCCCTCTGCCGCAGTGACCATCCAGATAGAGGCAGTGGTCTCAGCCTGGGTCATAGAGGACAGTGAGCGGAGCCCCCTGCCTTCCTGTGTTAGACGTATTCGATGAGCTAGAAATAAACTTTTGTTGTGGTCAGACCCTGAGATTCGGGGATTTGAGTGTTACTGTGGCCTAGCCTGGTCAAGCCTGCGTAATGAATATTATCAGATAAGCTGCATGTATGCGGGGATTTCTGGCTCTGGTTTACCAGATACCTTGGGAGCTGTGGGGAGGGCCCTGAAAGAGGCTTGTCCTATGAATCATGCTCCTTTTACTGTGTGGGAGATGGCAGGTGTGCTGTTCCCATCATGCTCCAGTCTGCTTTGTGATTTTAATCAAGAGTGGCAAAAATGGCGTTTAGATGTTTAATTGCATTCTGTAAGGGCAGACCATGTTAAAGTGTAAAATAGGTAAAGGCTGTATGCCTGGAAGGGATAAGAATCAAGGCTTTCATTTTTACTTTGAAAAACACAATTTATATATTTTTAACAATTTTCAGTGCACTTCCAAGTTTTCCAATACAGAGGAATGTTCGTGGGTGAGTTGTGAAAAGATGATTCTTCCCAAATGCAGTTATCAGTGGATACATTTCAGAAATTATTTTGTCACTGAAGGACATTTGAAATGAATCATCCGTACTTACCATTGACTAATACGTTTTTTTTCAGGCAGCTTCAAAGAGTATTTTAAATATGATTTCCTGGCTATCTGATTTCGGATCTAAGAGTATCAGACTTAGGTTTTGCTGTTAATGTCCTAGGGGCAGTGTGTTCACTCTTTTATTCTGAGTTAAACAGAAGGCAAGCCGGGAGCATTGTGCTTTGGACAGAGCTGTGCTGCATTCTTAGGGGACACTGGCTATAAATCCAGTCTCCCTAGAGGTTAACAATCAAAGTTCTCCCCTTATTATAGTCAGGCGAGTGATATGATGATGATAAATTGCTTGGACGTGACTGGCCCAAGCACTAGTGTGATGAATTATGTTGTTCGGGGCATGACCGAAGATCTTCTATTGTCAGCTGGCAATGCTAAGTATTGGCAGTATTCATAAATAGCCTTTTGCCAATGGTGGTCTCTGCTTTACATATTAAATTCTCTGTTTTCACAGGTTGTGGTTCTTAGTCATCTGTGTCCTCCACTGAATTCACTTACATAATCAGCCTTTTTTTTTTTCCTGTTCCCTACTTATTAAACGGGTGGGATGTGCTCACTTGTGTATGGTAAACACTGAGTTCTTTCTTCACAGAAACTGTTAAAAGAGTAATTATTAGTTCTTTTTACTAAATCCAGAGTAATAGCAACTTATCTTGCAGTGGCTTAATTGGGTAATTATTTGGTGTGTGAAGAGCACTTTGAAGAGAATATTGGTAAATATTGTTAATTTCGTGCTCTTTTATGTAACTGAAAGCCCATTGCGACCACAAAATCCTTGGTGTTACTGTGTACCCACAAAATTTCTTTCCTGATGTGGCTTACTATTTTCCAAATTATTTGTTTGTTGATTTTTAAAAACATTTTTTAAATTTTCATAAATTCTCAAAGTTATCTCATGTTTATGCCTTGACAATTCGACATGTCTCATCTCCTACATTCTTGCATATCTGAAAGGTTAGATGTTATCAGTCTTGCTCTCTAACAGTTTGGAGGACAGATAAAGCCCGACCATGTAATTGAGAAATTGAAATAAAGATTTATTTGGTCAGAGCCCATGCCCTGAGCTGTCATCTGATTGCCATCAGAATTTGTTTAAAAGTGTTAGGTTGGCCATGCACGGTGGCTCATGCTGTAATCCCGGCACTTTGGGAGGCCAAGGCGGGAGGATTGCTTGAGCTCAGGAGTTCAAGACCAGCCTGGGCAACAGTGAGACTCCCATCTCTATTAAATAAGTAAATAAGAATTAGGTTGACTTGCATGTGCCTGGCCAGCTCTTTTGACAGATTTTCTTCTCACTTTATAAATTCAGAGCCTGCAGGCCAGGCGTGGTGTCTCATGCCTGTAATCCTAGCACTTTGGGAGACCAAGGCAGGCGGACCACTTGAGGTCAAGAGTTCGATACCAGCCTGGCCAACATGGCGAAACCCCATCTCTACTAAAAATACAAAAATTAGCCAGGCATACGTCTGTAAGTCCAGCTACTCAGGAGGTTGAGGCAGGAGAATCGCCTGAACCCGGGAGGCGAAGGTTGCAGTGAGCCAAGATTGTGCCACTGCATACCAGCCTGGGTGACAGAGTGATACTCTGTCTCAAAAACAATAAAAATAAGATGAAATAAAATGTAGAGCCCCCAGGTGTAATTAAGGGCCATTTCTGTAGCTTAGATTAGATGACCTTGATTACTCACTATGTTTGTCTTCCTAGGGCTGCCATCACAAAATACCACAAACTGGGTGGCTTTAACAACAGACATTTATTTTCTCACAGCTCTGGCAGCTGGAAGTCCCAGATCAAGGTGTCAGCAGTGTTGGCCTCTTCTGAGGTCTCTCTCTTTGGCTTGTGGATGGCCGTCTTCCCTTTTATGCATGTCTGGGTATTGATCTTTTATAGGGACACCAGTCCTATTGGATTGAGACCTACCCTAACAACCCCCTTTTAACTTAATTACTTCTGTAAAGACTATCTGCAAATACAACCACATCCTAAGGTGCTGAGGGTTCGGGCTGCAACAGACAAATTTTGCAGGGAGATACAACTGAGCCCAAAATGCTCCACTGCAATAGTAATGGTCTGTTTGGAAGCTACTGTTTTTGGAGTTATTTTCTTTGATTGTTAAATTTGACCTTCCAAGTGATGACTACACATCTTTGGAGAATCTCCTCAGTTCAGGAACTTCTTTTTAACTAACATTACTTGGAGGAGAGCTTAATGCTCGTGACTTTAAACATTTATGTAATTAGGTAAAAAGGGAAGCAACATTATTAAATGACTTGGATAGAGTTCATCAAGCAGTTAAGAAAAAAATGTACATAATCAAGCGTACCTTGCAGTCTGAATGACAAACATCCAAATATTTGCTGTAACAACTCGCACATATTTTTACCAAAAATTTCCTCTCCGAATCAGAAACTTACTATGATGAGTCCATGTACTTACGTGTACCATCAAAAAGGGCCAGAGGATCGCTAGAGTATGCTGTGGTCCTATCTGCTCTTTCTATAAAGTGGTATCTTGTGCTCATCTTGCTTAAATATGTTGTGTCTTACAATTATCACGATACTATCAACTGAAAACAGAAAGGTCTGTGAGAAAAGATGTGAGCCTAGGAAGCTAAAAACTTTTTCTTTTTTTTTTTTTTTTGAGATGGAGTCTCGCTCTGTTGCCATGCTGGAGTGCATTGGCGCGATCTCGGCTGACTGCAACCTCTGCCTCCCGAATTCAAGCGATTCTCCTGCCTCAGCCTCCCGAGTAGCTGGAACTATAGGCACGTGCCACCATGCCCAGCTAACTTTTATATTTTTAGTATATTTTCAGCATGTTGGCCGGGATGGTCTCAATCTCTTGACTCGTGATCTACCCGCCTCGGCCTCCCAAAGTGCTGGGATTACAGGCATGAACCACCGCACCCGGCCTCTTTTCTTTTTTTTGAGACGGTGTCTTGCTCTGTCACCCAGGCCGGAGTGTGGTGGTGATCATAGCTCACTTGAGCTTCTGGGCTAAAGCGATCCTCCTGAGTAGCTGGATTACAGGTGCTCAATACCTCAATACCACGCCTGGTTTTTTTTTTTTGGACAGAGGACCTACAGGGAACTTTATTCTCGTGCTTTTGTCTTCACTGGGGCACTACCCCTCGGGAAGACCAGGTTGGCTCCTGGCACAGGGATGCACCTGGTTAATTTAAAAACATTTTTTTTTAGAGATGGGGTCTCACTCTGTTGCCCAGGTTCGTCTCCAACTCCAAGGCTCAAGTGATCCTCCCACCTCGGCCTCCCAAAATGCTAGGATCACAGGCATGAGCCACCACAACCAGCTAGCAAAGCTCTTATATTCAAAGAAATATTGGGGAATGTGAAGGCACAGAAGGCCTCAGTTTGACATTATCTGTCCATATCTATAATGCATACTATCTTTGCTTCTGACGAGCTTTTACAATGTTCCCTCAGAATAGAATAATAGGGTTTTTTTTAATCCTTAAAAGAATCTTACGTAGTAAATTGGTAGTCAGAAATATTAGAGGGTTGTTACATGGGTATGTAAGAGTATATAAGTAAAACTTGGGGTTTTGAATGGGCTGTAAAACACTTTTCTCTTTAAAACTGTTTTAAGTGGAAATGTATTATTGAAGCTGTGTGATGGATGAGTAGGGGTTCACTACACTGCACTCTCTACATTAGCGAATTTTTGAGAATGTCCATATTAAAAAGTTTAAATAAAAGTTATTTTTTAAAAAGGAGAATAAATGAGTGAAATATATGGCCTCCTGTGAGGCAAAATTCGATACCTATATAAGGGACACATTAAATGAGGTATGCATGCCTATGTTAGACAATATTAAGTCGAGTATGGTTTTAACTACCAATCGCTCTGTAGAAAAGTGTTGTTGAGGCTGAGCGTGGTGGCTCCTGCCTGTAATCACAGCTACTCAGGAGGCTGAGGCAGGAGAATGGCTTGAACCTGGGAGGCGAAGGTTGCAGTGAGCCTAGATCGTGCCACTGCACTCTAGCCTGGGCGACAGAGTGAGTGAGATTCCATCTCAAAAACAAAAAAGAAAATTATTATTGAAACCCTTATCCAAGAGTAGCTGGAAGAGTATCTTTCCTAGTTTTGGCCTAGATTATTTGAGACATTTTTTATTTATGCTTCTCTGGCATATGACATGTCTATTACTTCCATGAGTCAGTGCCTTTCTCCCAGTTAGCATTTCCCAGGCTCTCAGGCTGCAGTGTCTCCAAGCTCAGTCTTTGATTTCAGAGCCTATTAGCCATGGCACAAATCCGGTGAACACAGAAACTTACAAAGAGGCCACTTGTCTCCGATGCACTGATGCACCATGCGTGGCTAGTGCCTTCTGCCCAATGTCTTCTCTGAAAACATTCCCTGCTGTTGTAGGAAGGATCCTACAGGCTGACACCAAGGAAGCCATGCTGTCTCCTGGGTGGTCTTCAGAGGACACTGCCTCCTGAGGGGCTGACATGGCCAAAGCCCATCCAAGTCCTCTCAGCCTCCATATCTAGGATGAGAAGTTGTCCTGGGCCTGTGAGTCTCGCTCACATTTCTGCATAAGTGTCAGGCCTGGCATAGATGATTCCCTTTTGCTTTGGTGCTGCTTTGAGCTTGCCCCGTTATCATTTAGTAAAGTGCATCTTCAAGAGTGTTTCTCTTTCTCCTGTGTGCCAGATATTTCGGAGCAGCTCAGTGCATAAGTGGTAAAGAATTTGCTATTTCCAATACTGACATTACTGAGACTTTGACTTGCAACCATAGTTGATCTTGAATGTTCGGGGGTGGGGAGAAGGCTCTTACAAATAGAGGTGCAATGCACGCCACCCCACCCCCAACATTTTTTTTTTTTTTTGAGATAGAGTTGGTCTGTCGCCCAGGCTGGAGTGTAGCAGTGTGATCTTGGCTAACTGCAACCTCCACCACCTCCCGGGTTCAAGTGATTCTTGTGCCTCAGCTTCTTGAGTAGCTGAGATTAAAGGCGTGCACCACAATGCCTGGCTAATTTTTTGTATTTTTACTAGAGACGTGTTTCCACCATGTTGATCAGGCTGGTGCAGTGCCCCTTGTTGATGATCATTCCTCTCAAGTGTTATCTTTTCACTCTTTGCCTGTTAGTGTAGTTAGATAGAGAGATCAAACTATTTCAAGTTAGAAGTTCAAGTTTAAAATGTTCTCCATGAAGACTCTACATAGTCCCATTTGTGTATTGAATTTAATTGTTAGATTTGTTATATATATTAAAGAACATATGCAGTTTCTTAGCATTAGAAACATTTCATGGACTGTTGCTACTCGTTATTGTTGCCATGGTGAGGTCAAAACGCTTAATTTCTTAATTCTTTCTTTTCTATTTTGATAGACCACCAAGATTGTAAGACATTTTTGTTTGTTTGTTTGTTTGTTTTGTTTTGTTTTGTTTTTTTGAGACAGGGTCTCCCTCTGTTGACTCGGCGAGAGTGCATTGGTGCAATCTCGGCTTGCTGCAACCTCTGCCTCCTGGGTTCAAGCAATTCTCATGCCTCAGCCTCCCAAGGAGCTGGGATTACAGGCGTGCGCTACCATGCCCAGCTAATTTTTGTATTTTTAGTAGAGACAGGGTTTTGCCATGTTAGCCAGGTTGGTCTTGAACTCCTGACTTCAGGCGATCTGCCTCCCTTGGCTTCCCAAAGTGCTGGAATTACAGGTATGAGATAGCATACCCGGCCTTTTTTTCTTTTCTTTTTTTTTTTTTTTTTGAGTCAGAGTCTTGCTCTCTTGCCCAGGCTGGAGTGCAGTGGTGCCATCATAGCTCACTGCAGCCTTGAACTATTGGGCTCAAGCGATCCTCCCACCTCAGCCTCTCAAATAGCTGAGACGACAGGCACATGCCACACCTAATTTTTTTTTTTTTACTTTTGTAGAGATAAGGTGTCACTGTGTTGCTCAGGTCAATGTCTTGAACTCTTGGCCTCAAGTGATCCTCCAGCCGCAACCTCCCAAAGTGCTAAGATTACAGGTGTGAACCACTGCACTAAGCCTGTAAAATATTTTTTATGTGGAATTTTCGTAATGCATTATGTAGTGACACCAGTTTTTTTGTTAACCTGTTTTCACTTCTCTGTTTTTATTTTTGTGTTAGTAATAACTTGGTCAAAATAGGTTTACATTCATTATTACTATATAACATAACAATTTCACATTAGCATTAAGGACAATTTTTTATAAGTTGTTTCTATACAAAGAATGATGTATTAAATTTTAGACCTTTTATCTATAAATATGCGAAAGCTTTGTAAGTGGCTATACTATCTCTGACTATAAGGTCTTGGTCCATATTCTTTACACCATACATCGTATTTATATATATGCCTGCATATATTCATGCCTGCATATTGTGCAGAACCACCTGTGAACCAGATCCTAGTCTTCTCTTCCTCTGTCAACTGATCATAGGGAACTCCCCATGATACCATTGGTGCAGGCTGGGGAGAGAAGGCAGGGTGGCAGGATTGGAGACCATGGGCATTTGAGCCACTTCCTCACATAACTTACTTGTGTCTTCAGGACCCGTTCGAGCCCAATCACTTATATACCACTTCCATTTGATGATGGAATGCTGCTGTGTACACCCTACTTTCTGGTTGGATGGGTCAGAAAGCACTGAGTTCATGATAAGCAGTTCAGGTCACATGGTGACTTGATGACCCATAGTTAAACGTTCAGTTTCTACCAAAGCCCAGTAACTGGCCAAGAGCTGTCTCTCAAAAGGACACTAGTTATCTGCAGAAGATGGCAGGGCCTTGCTCCAAAATCCCAGAAGCCTCTGCTGTGATTCCCCTATGGGAGCCTGCCAAGGGCTCCAAACAGCATCCCTGTCTGCCACTGACAACTTGGGCACCATTGGATCTGCTGGGTCATATGGTCCAAGTGGCAGAGGAGCTTGCATAGTAGCCTGGACCTGTTGCAGAGCCTTCTTCTGTTCTGGACCCCACTCAAAACTGGCAGCCTTTCAGGTCACTTGATAAATGGGTGGGAGTAACACACGCAAATGAGGAACGTGTTACCTCCAACAGTCTAAATAGGCCCACTAAGCATTGTGCCTCTTTCTTGGTTGTAGGAGGGGCCAAATGCAGCGACTTGTCCTTCATCTTAAAAGGAATATCTCGACAGGCCCCACACCGCTGGACCCCTGGACATTTTACTGAGGTGGAAGGCCCCTGAATTTTAGTCGGATTTATTTCCCATCCCCTGGCATGTAAATATCTCACCAATAAGTCTGGTGTGTTTGTTACTTCTCATTCACTGGGTACAATCAGCATAATGTCATCAATGTAATGGACCAGTGTGATAAGTCATGGAAGGAAAAAGCGATCGGGGTCCCTCTGAACAAGATTATGACACAAAGCCAGAGAGATGATATACCCTTAAGGTAGGACAGTAAAGGTATATTGCTGGCCTTGCCATCTGAAGACAAATTGCTTCTGGTGTGCCTTATGGATAGGAATGGAGAAAAAGGCATTCGCCAAGTCAGTGGCTGCATTCTAGGTACCAGGAGATTTATTAATTTTCACAAGCAATGAAACCACATCTGGTACAGCAGCTGCAATTGGAGTCACCACTTGGTTAAGCTTACAATAATCCACTGTCATTCTCTAAGATCCGTCTGTCTTCTGCACAGGCCAAATAGGAGAGTTGAACAGGGATGTGGTGGGAATCACCACCCCTGCGTCTTTCACGTCCTTGATGGTGGCACTAATCTCTGCAGTCCCTCCAGGGATGCAATATTGTTTTTGATTTACCATTTTTCTAGGTAGAGGCAGCTCTAATGGCTTCTATTTGGCCTTTCCCAGCATAGTAGCCCTCACTCTACCATTCAGGGAGCCACTGTGGGGATTCTGCCAGGTGCTAAGTATGTCTAAGCCAATTCTGCATTCTGGTACTAGGGAAATTACCACATGGTGAGTCCAGGGACCCACTGGACCCACTGTATTTCAGACCTGAGCTAAAACTCTATTAAAAGATGTTCTTCCAGCTACTCTTGGATAAGGGTTTCAACAATAATTTTCTTTTTTTTTTTTTTTTTTTTTGAGACGGAGTCTCACTCACTCCGTCGCCCAGGGTACAGTGCAGTGGTGCAGTCTCGGCTCACTGCAACCTCCGCCTCTTTGCTTCTGCTGTCCATTACAGTAACAATGCCCACCTTGTCTTTGATGGTTGAGTGTTGCCACTTGCCCTCTGCCACTTTAGGATCCAGTTATTCCCACTGCATTTAAATTTTGTAGTTGAGTGACTGGTGTTCCCACTGTAAGATCTGGCATACAAAGAAGAGCAATCACAGAGCTCTTCAAGGATGCAGGTGCTCCTCTCACAAATCTATTTCACAAGGTATTGGTGAAGGACATATCTTCTGGGCCCTCCCAGCTGGGATGGGTAGGTCTAAAGTGACTAATCCACTCTAGCATCTTAATCTCCCTAAGCCCTTGGATCCCTTCCTCTACCTTAAACCAAGGGAAATCAGGCATTTCTAGCTCACACACAGTGGGTCATCTTTTGATTCACATTTCAGCTAACCAAACAAATAAACTCTTAGAACCTTTTCTAACACCCTGAGTTGCAACATTAAATGCAGAATCCCTGCTTAGTGGGCCCAAATCAGTAAGTTCAGGCTGATCCAACTTTATGTTCCATCCACCATTATCTCACACCCTTAATATCCATTCCCATGCCTGTTCTCCAGATTTCTGCCTATATAAGTCAGAAAAGTAAAGCAATTCTTCTGGAATGTAGCGCACCCCCTCATGGGTCATACTCTGAACCTCATCTCTAGGGGCCTACTGGGACTTTAGTCTAGTTACATATCTAGAAGCAAACGGGTATTGGGAGTGGGTCCTGAGGAGAATTGACATTGTCTTGCCTGGCAACTGCCTCAGGAGAGGCCATCACTGTTGCCTCAGGTAGTGCATGGTTAATCTCCTCAGACAAAGGTGGAAAGGCTGATGGCAGTATGGGTGGAAGAGGGGATGTTGCCATCACTGGGGATGGGGAAGCTGTTTCCTCTGGTTAAAGAAAATAAAAAGGCTCATAAGAGTTTATAAGCTCGGTGTCCCCAGTTTCATCTGGGTCATCCCACATGTCCCCATTCCAAGTTGCAGGGTCCCATTCTTTTCCAGTCAATGCCCTCACTTTGACAGGAGACATCTGATGAGACTGAGCATCCACCTTTCATTGCAGATCAGCCACTCACATGATAAAAGCTTGTGTCTGATTTTCCACAATTTCAGCCCTTTGTCTACAGGAGATAAGACTCTCCTTCAGGGCAATCTTAGAAGAGGCTCAGTATGTGCTTCTGGAGCTGGACGTTAGAATCCCTGAACTCATCCTTTGCTTTCATTACCTTGTCCAGCGAACTAAGTAGCAACCAACCAACTTTATTGTATTCCTTGGTTCTCCACATATGGTCAAAGGTATTATGTACAGAGTCACTAAACCCCTTGCCCCTCATGAGTGGTGAATCAGGAGTATCAAATGCATCTATTTTGCATAACTCTTTAAACAGTTTGCACTAAGGACTATCAGCGTTCTCCATACTATTAGAAGTAGAGTACTTAGCATTTTTGGATGTCGTTAGATTAAGCAGTCAACTCCAGAAACCCCAAAACGCACTAAAGAACTCCATCCTTAAAATTCTGTCTGTGACCAAAGGCCCAAGAGCCCCTGGTAAACCGCTGGTGTAAGTACAAGAGTCCGAAAGCTGAAGAACTTGGAGTCTAATGTTTGAGGGTAGAAAGCCTCCAGCATGGGAGAAAGATGAAGTCCAGAAGGCTCAGCAAGCCTGCTCTGTCATCTTCTCCTGCCTGCTTTACTCTAGCTGCACTGGCAGCTGATTAGATGGTGCCCACCCAGAATGAAGGTGGGTCTGCCACTCCCCGTCCACTGACTCAAATGTTAATCTTTGCCAACACCCTCACAGACATACTCAGGAACTATACTTTGCATCCTTCAGTCCATCAAGTTGACACTCAATATTAACCATCACAAGGTTTGAGAGTTAAAATTGGCTAATATGCTGGGCGTGGTGGCTCACGCCTGTAGTCCTAGCATTTTGAGAGGCCAAGGTGGGTGGATCACTTGAGATCAGGAGTTTGAGACCAGCCTGGCCAACATTACTAAACCCTGTCTCTACTAAAAATACAAAAGAAAGTAGCTGGGTGTGGTGGTGCACTCCTGTAATCCCAGCTACTCAGGAGGCTGAGGCAGGAGAATCACTTGAACCCGGGAGGCAGAGGTTGCAGTGAGCCAAGATTGTGCCACTGCACTCCAGCCTGCACAACAGAGTGAGACTCCATCTCAAAAGTAAATAAATAAATAAAATAAAATTGGACAGTAGTTTTCTCTGCCTAATTAGAAGTCAGTCTATATATCTGATGTGTTGGGAGGGTTATTACCCCCCAGAAAAGGATTTCTTTCATAGATGAAATAAAATGAATTCGTTACAAGACATTGTGGAGATGTTGCTAAGCCCTTTAATTTTTGGAAACTCAGTATAATTTTCATCAGTTCTTGTGAAACTTGATTTATGCTCGTATCATCTTCCAGAGTGTTGGCTATGCCTGTGTACTACCTTTACCACTAATTACTTAATAGTTTTTCTTTAAACCAATCCACTTTTTTTACTTTAGCTCCATCCTAAACAATAATATCTATGAAATCACAGGCTTGCAATGTTGATTACTTTCTTTTTTCTAAAACACATTAAAATAAATAACAACTTGTTTAAAAAAGTTTTAAATGCCCATATATCACCTAAAATCAGTTTGAACCACCAGTGGGATACACACACACACACACACACACACACATATATATACATATACATATATATAATATCACAGTTTTTGAAAGCACTGAAAAAAGCCAAGCAGATTATTGACTTTTTTTGTTTTTTTTTTTTTGAGATTGAGTCTCACTCTGTCACCCAGGCTGGAGTGCAGTGGCATGATCTCGGCTCATTGCAACCTGCATCTCTCAGGCTCAAGCAGTGCTCTTGCCTCAGCCTCCCAAGTAGCTAGGACTATAGGTGTGCATGACCACGCTCAGCTCAGCTAATTTTTGTATTTTTAGTAGAGATGGGGTTTTACTATGTTGGTCAGGCTGGTCTTGAACTCCTGACCTCAAGCACTCCATCTGTCTAAGCCTCCCAAAGTGCTGAGATTTACAGGCATGAACTACTGCGCCCAGCTGTGACTTTTTGTTTTCTCTCCTCCTCCTCCTCCTTCTTCCTCTTCTTCTTCTCCTGCTGCTGCTGCTGATGATGATTCTCCTTCTCCTTCTCCTTCTCCTTCCTTTTCCTCTTCCTCTTCTTCTTCTACTTCTACTTCTTCCTCATTTATTATTATTGTTATTATTTTGAGACAGTGTCTTGCTCTGTCACCCAGGCTGGAGTGCAGTGGCATGATCTTGGCTCACTGCAACCTCCACCACCCAGGTTCAAGTGATTCTCCTGCCTCAGCCTCCCAAGTGGGTGGGATTACAGGCATGCCCTCACACCCGGCTAATTTTTGTACTTTTTTAGAGACGGAGTTTCACCATGTTGCCCAGGCTGGTCTCAAACTCCTGACCTCAAGTGATCTGCCTGCCTCAGCCTCCCAAATTACTGGGATTACAGGCGTGAGCCACTGCGTCCAGCCATTTCTTCTTATTTTTTAATATAATAGAGATGGGGTCTCAATATGTTGTCCAGGTGGGGTCTCACTGTGTTGCCCAGGCTGATCTTGAATTCCTGGGCTCAAGTGATTCTTCGGCCTCAGCCTTCCAAAGTGCTGGGATTATAGGCATGAGCCACTGCACCTGGCCAGGTTATTGATTTTTTTTAACACTTATTTCACCATCTACTAAAGAATAAAATTATTCTTGGTTAAGTTGGCACAAAATTTTCAGAGTAGTTTCTGTAGTTGTGTTGTGATTATTGGAAACTAAAAATTGTGCATATATACAGACACACATATATACATATATATAATACATATATGCCTAGATAGTGGATTATATGAACTTTTATTTGGGATATAGCCAGCCGTTTTCAGTTGCTTAGGCAGTCAGCATCACGTATTTGAAGGCTACTATAAAGACACCATTATTGTATACTTGCGCCTCTATTCTTACTCACAAGCAGTATGAAGAATGATAATAAATAATTAACAATCTGGAACTTCTGGGTTGTGAAGTATTTTTATTTCATGCATCTGTTAGTAATAATCTGTTGTTTATACTAAGTTTATAGTAAAGTAAATACTGGAATATGGTTCATTTAAGTATGGTTTGCCTAATGGGACATCAGAAAAAATTCATATAAAGAAAGATATCAATGGTTTTCACATTCCTTGTAACAAAATGGTCTGTCTGATTTTCTACTATACATATATCCCTGTTCATGTAATATTTAAACAGATGTGAACAAATGGAGAAGCTTCTGGAGAGGTCATTTAGAGCCCATGTAACATCTTTCCACATAGACTCATAGAACTTGTATCTGGAAGGAAGCTTAGAAATCACTTTGTTCCACTCCCTTGTTTTATTAATGAGAAAACTGAGGTCCTCAGACTAAGTGATTTGCCCAAATATGTGCTTCTGGCATATCAGCTGTGTCACATTTATGCAGTTGGTAAAGTTTTAGCTTTTCTTCCTCTTGGGGAAATAGTGATATGTTCAGAAAGCATTATGTCATCCCGTCTGTGTCTATTTTTTTGTGAGGGAGACAATTTTTTGGAGTACAGTGAAATAGCATCCACTTTTATTTTAAATTACAGAAATTCCATGGTCAACCAACTCCACTTCTAATCCATTTTTGAAATACAGTAAGTTAACATTAATTTTTGGTGGCACAGAACATACTTTATAACTACTATTATTCGTATAAATACAAAATTAACCTGCCAGGCACGGTGGCTCACGCCTGTAATCCCAACACTTTGGGAGGCTGAGGTGGGTGGATTGCTTGAGGCTAGGAGTTCAAGACCAGCCTGGGCAACATGGCAAAACTCCATCTCTACTAAAAATACAAAAAATTAGCCAGGCGTGGTGGTGCACACCTGTAATCCCAGATACTTAGGAGGCTGAGACATGAGAATTGCTTGAACCCGGGAGGCAGAGGTTGCAATGAGCCAAGATCACGCCACTGCACTCCAGCCTGGATAACAGAATGAGACTCTCAAAAAAAAAAAATTAACCTATTGAATTAGAGAATTAGCCTATTGAATCAGGAATTATTTGTGTTTCTAATATACGTGAACAAGAGAGAAAAACATATTTTTCTAAGCAATGTCAAGACATATAATATAATTTCCATTTTTATGGCAAGTAAGTATATGTACATTTAAACATTCCAAGTTCTTGATTTTTAATCTACAATTATGTCTAATAACAATAAATAATAGAACAATAAATACTAATATATAATAATAAACTGATAATAAGTACTATATAGTAATGAAATAATAAAAGCTGATAATCAAATGTAATAAAAGAACATTTTCATATTAATGCATAATGAAAACTGTACGAAATAAGTTACCTAAAGACTAAACTGGCCAGGTGCAGTGGCTCATGCCTGTGATCCCAGCACTTTGAGGAGCTGAGGAAGGTGGATCACTTAAGCCCAGGAGTTGAAGACCAGCCTGGGGGACATGGTGAAACCCTGTCTCTACAAAACATACACAAATTACCTGGGCATGGTGGTATACACCTGTAGTCCCAGCTATTAGGGAGGCTGCAGTGGGAGGATCACTTGAGCCTGGGAGTCAGAGGTTGCAGTGAGCTATAATCATGCCACTTTACTCCAGTCTGGATGACAGAGAGAGACCCTGTCTCAAAACAAAACAAAAAAAAAATGAATAAGCAGAGCTGTTCTCCTGAAGCATCAGACCAAGGGCCAGAAAAAAGAGAAACTTCTGAGCAGAAAAGTACTGCCCTGGCCCCAATAGTTTCCTTGGTTTGCTTTCCATATTTGCAACCGTGGCATAAAATGATTATCACGTGTCAGTGACAAATTAACAGGTGCAGTGACTCATGCCTATAATCCTAACACTTTGGGAGACCGAGTCAGGAGGATCGTTTGAGCCCAGGAGTTTGAGACCAGCCTGGGCAACATATCAATACCTCGTCTCTATTAAAAATAAAAAAATTAGTGAAGTGAGATGGCATATTTCTGTGGTCCCAGCTACTCAGGAGGCTGAGCGAGGTGGATCACTTGTACCTGGGAGGCTGAAGCTGCAGTGAGCCACGATCATGCCACTGCACTCTAGCCTGGGCAACAGAGCGAGACCCTCTCAAAAAATAAAAAGAGCAAGCCAAGAGGTAAAGGTTTAACTTCATCTGATACCTAAACAAGAACTCAAGAATAAAATAGCAAGTGCCATAGAGACTTTACCTATGAAGTGAAAAATAATTTCAAAGGAAGGACAGCTAATTTTGTGTTTGTAATAGGTTTATACTGGATTGCTCCACAGCTTGTTGGTAAAAGTAACTTTGAGCACTTAGAGAACACATCTTTATACTTAGTGTGTTCCAATTTAAAAAGTGTTATTACTTTTTTTTTGGAAACCGAGCATCTAAGTAATTCTGAGTTCTCCCAGGCCAACAGAAACTGAGACAGGGAAAATGAACAACCATCATCCCCGGAATGCTGTGATTTGCCATAACCAAGAAGGCAAGTGAGTTTTCACAGTGCAAAAGACGTTGCCAGTTGTTCATTCTTCTGTTAATGCTACCAGAGAGTACATATTCTAAATCTGTTCACCTGTGTTTTGAGACTCAAAGCAGCTCTAAAATACGTACATTCTTTCCAGTCAAGTTCACTTATCCATCCATCCATAAACATTTACAGAATCCTGCTATGGGCCATCCATTGTACTAAATGCTGTCTGTGATCCTGTTCTCACTTAAACATTGAGCAGAGATGATTCTTTAAGAGTTATGATAATCCTTCTGTAGTTCTCCTGTGGTGTCCCCAGAGAATGCCAGGAGATTAGAGGCCCCTCAAATGAACACAATATCCTGCCAGTCTCCGCAGTGTGCATCATTTGTCATTGACATAGGGTAGTCATTTTGCACTGTTGTTGCAACTATGAAAAGCAAACAAGGAGACTCTTGGAAGCTGGGCAATGCTGTTCTGCATAGGAGTTTCCTTTTTTTCTGGCTCTTGGTCTCAGGCTTCAGAAGAATAGCTCTGCTTGTTCTTCTCTTAGCAATAAAGAACAAGGTCCCACCTTCCATTCTCTCCACTGAAAGCAGTAGAGGTACCCGCAGGGGAGAAGAATTTTGCGCATTACCTGTTCTTGCTCTCTTCTTGGATAGGGCTGTGGCTGTGTCCATTGCTAGTGTCTTTGGTGGCTGATATGGTTTGGCTGTGTCCCCATCCAAATCTCATCTTGAATTGTAGCTCTCATAATTCCTACATGTTGTGGGAGGGACCTGGTGGGAGGTAACTGAACCATGGGGAAGGTGGGGGGGGGTTCCGCCATGCTGTTCTCGTGGTAGTGAATAAGTCTCACAAGATCTGATGATTTTATAAGGGGTTTCCACTTTCACTTGGCTCTCTCATTCTCTCTTGCCTGCTGCCATGATTGTGAGGCTTCTCTAGCCACGTGCAACTGTGAGTCCATTAAACCTTTTTTTAAATAAATTACCCAGTCTCGGTTATGTCTTTATCAGCAGCATGAAAACACCCTTCTTTCTTCCCAGAGTGAATTAGTGAATACAAAGGCTTCAGCGAGTTACATGCGCTTCATTTCTGCCTCATAGTCATTAACGCTTTAATACGTTTAACCCTTTAGTTGTTTTGTTTGTTTGTTTGTTTGTTTGTTTGTTTTTTGAGATGGAGTCTCACTCTGTTGCCCAGGCTGGAGTGCAGTGGCGCGATCTCGGCTCACTGCAAGCTCCGCCTCCCGGGTTCACGCCATTCTCCTGCCTCAGCCTCCCGAGTAGCTGGGACTACAGGCGCCCGCCACCACGCCCAGCTAATTTTTTGTATTTTTTAGTAGAGACGGGGTTTCACCGTGTTAGCCACGATGGTCTCGATCTCCTGTCCTCGTGATCCGCCCGTCTCGGCCTCCCAAAGTGCTGGAATTACAGGCATGAGCCACTGTGCCCGGCCCCTTTAGTTGATTATTAAGCATTTCTTCTTTAGGAAAGCCGTGTTTAGTTACTCTCACCGCTATGTAATGCCAGTTACTTCAAAGTACTTTGTTTTTGTTTTTTTGAGAAAGAGTCTCACTCTGTCACCCAGGCTGGAGTGCAGTGGCCTGATCTTGGCTCACTGCAACCGCTGCCTCCCAGGTTCAAGTGATTCTCCTGCCTTAGCCTTCCCAGAAACTGGCACTACAGGTGCGTGCCACCACACCTGTAGTGTGGTGGCTAATTTTTGTATTTTTAGTAGAGACGGGATTTCACCATGTTGGCCGCGCTAGTCTCAACTCCCAGCCTCAGGTGATCTACCTGCCTTGGCCTCCCAAAGTGCTGAGATTACAGGCATCTGCCACCATGCGGGGCCCTCAAAGTATTTTGTTTATCATAAGTGTATTCATTCCATTTACCTACATGCTGTATAAAATTTGTTATAAACCTGATTAAATTGCAAACTCCTTGAAGACAGGCACCATGTCTGCTTTTTCTGTCTCTAAGGTAGAGAGGGTCTGACCCAATTTATTAGTGTTGTATGAACTGTCAGCAAACAGAAAGAAAAACAAAACAAAAGAAACCCTATTATCTTGTGGAAAGACCTTATATTCAATTAAAGATTGTAGGAAGACCTGACTGCAAAATGGGTTGAACTTTTGAGAAGTGAAATGTTTTGCTGCTGCCCAGCACTTTTTTTTTTTAAGCTCTCATATCACAACTTGGCTCCATCACAATTAATCTTATGTGGTAATGCAGTGACAATGAGATGATTTCTCTGGAGAATCTATGCTAATACTATTAAAATGCTCTTACAATGTCAAAGTGATTGCAGTGTATGCATGGGGGGACTGTGCTTATGCGATTATGATATTATAGTGATGGGCGATTACCATAGGAAACTACTAATTCAACCCTGCAGGGACTTGCATTATGAAGCCATTAGAACAGGAGATTATAATGACACAATAACTTAGATGCACATTCATGATGTGAAAACCAAAAGCTAATTGGAATGCAAGTCATATTTCCGTTAAATTGTAATTAAACACTGAAAGCAATGCTTGTTTAAATTTGAGACAGAGACGTGCAATCCAGGAATGAAAGTTGTGGGGAAGGAGTGCATGGCGAGTGTAAGCTTAGAAGTATCTAGAAACCATTTGCAACTCTGCCCTTTAGTATTTACTGGGTGTGAAAGCTGTCACTGAAGCTGCTTCTCCAGATTTGCTCCCTCTCTGCTGGTCCTCTAAAGCAACCAAAAACAGTACCAAGACACAAGAAGCGTGAGTCCAATTTCCATTCCTATCACAACCACTAACATTGACAGCCTTTTTGTTTCATTTTTGAAGTGAGCATAAAGCACCTTACCTCCCTCAATACAAGAGACTAAAGCACAATTTTTTCCATGAATAATAACCTTTTATATATACAACAAAATTAGTCCATATTCAAAATCAGACAGAACAGATAAGTGCAAAGGGAAAAAAGATTTTTAAAAAGCCTTAAAAATTCTACCCCCAGAGATGACCTATATTAGCATCTCTGGGTATTTTCTTTCAGACTATTCTCCATGCATAGTATCAATGTATTTTTCTTCAAAAATTTGCATTCTACAACACTTTTAAAACCCACTTAGTGATTCTTCTCACCCCTTCCAGTCGCAAGATCTATTTCTTATCCAAGAGATTCCAGTTGATAAGTTTTGTTTGTTTTTTAAAGGTCAGCTGAAGCTGGACGATTTTACGTGTCACTTGGGCAAGTATATTTTACTATTAGAGAATCATACTTGCAAAGGTTTATACTCTGCATATATCAGTTACAGGGTGGGTCTATAGTAAATTCTTCAGATTCTACCAGCAGTGCTGTAGCTACTCCACATTTGTCTCTGTTTAAGGAATCAATGGGGCCTTTGAGAAATCATAGGGCTCTAATTTGTTCTCAAACTGATAATTATTGTACGGTTTAGATAAATATCGATTATTTTTAAAAAACTAGGAACATTTAGGAACTACAGGACTTGTTAGATACACCCCTGCATCTGCTAGTTCAGATGTTTTGAGGTCACACAGCAGCTCGTATGTATTCCCTCCTAATTATGACTCAAACTAGTTCTTGCTCCTTGGTCTAAATATAGTTGAGTTTTTGTTAGTAAGTATTTGCTTTGCACTTAGATATGCTGTATATTTCAGAGTTATTTATTTATTTATTTATTTATTTATTTATTTACTTATTTGAGACCAAGTTTTGCTCTCCTTACTCAGGCTGGGGTGCAATGCACCATCTTGGCTCACCACAACCTCCGCCTCCCGGGTTCAACCGAGTCTCCTGCCTCAGCCTCCTGAGTGGCTGGGATTACAGGCATGCGCCACCATGCCTGGGTAATTTTGTATTTTTAGTAGGGATGGGGTTTTTTCCACGTTGGTCAGGCTGATCTCGAACTCCCGACCTCAGGTGATCTGCCCGCCTCGGCCTCCCACAGTGCTGGGATTACAGGCAGGGGCTGCTGCACCCAGCCCAGGGTTATATTTATTACCCCTTCTTGCAATGACCAAATGAAGAAGACAATTTAAATTACTAGAGTCTTATTTTTCTAATTAGGAAAAGGAAAGCACACTGCAGTTAAAGGGCTTGTTTCGTGTCATTCAGTGAACAGTGGAATTGAGATTAGGTCTTCTGGTCCTGGGTTAGCATAGCCTCTTTTTTAGGCTAAGATGTGATGTTACCTTGGGTTAATACTTCTTTATTAACAGAGACAAGAATAACTAATTTTGATGTTCATAGTAAATACCTACATAGTTAGTAAAACAAACATTGGACAAGTTGAGAGACTGGGTTCTAGTTTAGGCTATCTGACCTTCAAAAGATTAAGGATTCCATTTTAGCATCTAAAAATGAAGTCATCAAATTAAATGATCTCCATAGTTTATTCCAGCTCAAAAATTCTAAAGTCAAATAGTATTTAACATTAATTGAAATGCAAATATTTTTATTTTAAGCATTATACATTTTAATACTTAATAATATATTTTACCTACTTTAAAAACCATTAATCTCAATTTAAAACCAGTCCTTACTTGGATGACATTTAATAATTTGACATTTTTTAGCAGTAGATTTGTAATTTGACTTAAACTTTCTTTTTTTATTTAAGAAATGTATTAAAATTATTAAAGTTGCAGATATAAGTCTAATCAAAAAGAGATGAAAATTACAGTCTTTTTTTTTAAATAGAGTCTCACTCTGTTGCCCAGGCATCCTACTGCAACCTCTACCTCCCGGGTTCAAGAGATTCTCCTGCCTCAGCCTCCCAATTAGCGGGGATTACAGGCACCCGCCACCACGTCTGGCTAATTTTGGTAATTTTGATAGAGACGGGGTTTCACCATGTTGGCCAGGCTGGTCTCGAACTCCTGACCTCAGGTGATCCACCTGCTTCAGCCTCCCAAAGTGCTGGGATTATAGGCATGAGCCACCGCACCTGGCCAAAAATTACAGTCATTTGATATATCGGCAATATTGTTAAATTACAGTTAAAACTACAGTGAAAGGAGATTTTTCACTTGCATAATTATATAAGTATATAGATAAATCATTGTCTCAAATAATATTTTAAATATGTGATTTTCTGTGAATTCTTAGGAAGCAGGTGATAGCAATGATTGAGGTGCTCAATTAAGCTATGGTACTAGAGGAACCTTTCTAAATATTTTACTGCAGCTTATTTTTATGGGGAAAATATATAAGCAAATTAAATTTTAGCAAATTAAATATAATTAAATTCCTTTATATTTAATTACATATATAATTATATATACATATGAGTTAATTAAAATTTGTTATTTGATAGTGGAGATTTTTTCTATTTTTGTGAGACTTTTTCGCTAGAGAATTTAGAATTCAGTTAGAGTATTTTCTCAGCCATCTCAAAGACCAGGAAAGAGTGATTATTGCTCTATGACACATGTAGTCATTACAGATTTGCCCTTGACCCCATTGTAGTAAATCAGCTTTCAGGAGTTGAAATTAGCTGTTTGTTACCTTACTTTTAGTACATCAGATACTAGTCTTTCCCCAAAACACTTCTCTCTGTCAGGTGCCACACTCTCTTAGGACCAGACAAAATTTGTTACTTTGAGTTCTTTCCTAGACCATTAATAAAGGCGACCTCTAGAGCAATTTTTCTCAAACTTGGAGTTCCACAAACTCTCAACAAAATTTTGATTTTGTCTTTTCATTTTTGTAATCATCAAACCATTTTAAGCATATTCTGAATCAATATACCTATTTTATAACCATATATTGCCCTAGGGTTTCATTATATGCATTTCCATTACTTTTTAAGACTTGAGTGATACCAAATCATTACCTAAAATAACAACATTTATCTTTTTCATGACTTTTTTTTTCAAACTGGGGTCTCTGTTTTACTGGAAGCCATGACCGTATTTCCTAGGATTTTTTTTTTTTTTTGAGACGAAGTCTTGCTCTTGTCACCCAGGCTGGAGTGTGATGGCATGATCTCAGCTCGCTGCAACCTCTGCCTCCCGGGTTCAAGCAATTCTCCTGCCTCAGCCCCCCAAGTACCTGGAATTACAGGCGCCTGCCACTACGCCTGGCTAATTTTTGTATTTTTAGTACAGATGGGGTTTCCCCATGAAGGCCAGGCTGGTCCTGAACTCCTGACCTCAAGCAATCCACCCGCCTCGGCCTCCCAAAGTGCTGGGATTACAGGTGTGAGCCACCACGCCCAGCCTTTTCCTAGGACTTTATGAGAGGTGGTTGGATTGAGAGAGCAGTGGATAATCTGTCAAAGTGGTTTACTTCCTTTATTTATTTCCTTTATAAGAAGTACAGTTGGTTTACAAATTAAATCATATATGATGGTGGCGTTTGTGTTTGTTTTTCTGAGTCTGACTTTAGGGTTTGTTTATAGCAGTATCCTAAGGGTAGAACCAAGAGTTAAGACTTGTTGTGAGTTTTCTCGTCTTTGCAATTTTTCCAGCCCTGCGATTTGTGCTGTGTCTTCCACATAATCTACTTTTTTTTTTTTTTTTTTGAGACAGAGTCTCGCTCTGTTGACCAGGCTGGAGTGCAGTGATGCAATCTTAGCGCTCTGTAGACTCCGGCTCCCAGGTTAAAGTGATTCTCCTGCCTCAGCCTCCTGAGTAGCTGGGATTACAAGCATGTACTACCATGCCTGGCTAATTTTTGTATTTTTAGTAGAGACGGGGTTTCACCATGTAGGCCAGGCTGGTCTCAAACTCCTGGCCTCAAGTGATCCACCCGCCTCAGCCTCCCAAAGTGCTGGGATTACAGGCATGAGCCACCATGCCCGGCCACATAATCTACTCTTAACATTACCTCCTTAAGATTGATGGCTGCCGGGCGTGGTGAGTCACGCCTGTAACCCCAGCACTTTGGGAGGCCGAGGAGTGCAAATCACAAGGTCAGGAGATGGAGACCATCCTGGCTAACATGGTGAAACCCCGTCTGTACTAAAAATACAAAAAATTAGTCGGGCTTGACGGCAGGCACCTGTAGTCTCAGCTACTCGGGAGACTGAGGCAGCAGAATCGCTTGAACCCGGGAGGCGGAGGTTGCAGTGAGCCAAGATTGTTCCACTGCACTCCATACTCCAGCCTGGGCGACAGAGCGAGACTCTGTCTAAAAAAAAAAAAAAAAAAAAAAAATACTGTTTCTCACTCATCTGTCTAGCTGAGGGAAACTTGGAGACAGAGGGAAGAACTCAGCCAAGCTCCTGATAAACCACTTAATTAAAGCTAAGAGATTATCATGATAAATGTTAATTGGGATTATCATGATAAATTGGGATTCTTGTCCTGTGTTCTTTTATAAGAAACAGGTGATGCATATTTTCTTTTTTTTGTTGTTTTTTGAGACCAAGTCTCGCTCTTATCACCCAGGCTGGAGTGCCATGGCAGGCGCGATCTTGGCTAACTGCAACCTCTGCCTTCCGGGTTCAAGCAATTCTCCTGCCTCAGCCTCCCGATTAGCCGGGATTACAGGCGGGTGCCACCATGCCCGGCTAATTTTTGTATTTTTAGTAGAGACACGGTTTCACCGTGTTGGCCAGGCTGGTCTCGAACTCCTGACCTCAGGTGATCCGCTCATCTCGGCTTCCCAAACTGCTGGGATTACAGGCGTGAGCCACCATGCCCGGCCAACGCATATTTTCTTTGGCCCACATTTTAGGTGTTTATTAATAAGTGTTGGTCGACGCCCAAAGGAGAAATCTCAGAGGTCATGGTTGTTATACTATTTTTAAAGGTCTCCCACAGGATGCTTAAGGAACCTATAGCAGTGGATTCTGCCTTTAGTGAAAGTGGAATACAGCTCATCATCCTTGTCTCAATAATAACCCCATTTCCTCATTGGTGAAATGGGAACAATAATAATAAAAGTGGATTTCGTCTCAAAGTACATCCGACGGTCCGGTCTTCCACTGTTTTTGATGACTCACCTTCTGTTGATCCCTTGCCTACTTCACCGGTACATTAGGAGATTTAATTAAAGTGTGTAGAGGATCTAAGCTCTTCAGAGAAACACACAGCATTATTATGGCAGATAACACTTCTGATCTTCCATAATCTCTTGAAGGTAATGAAACCAGCAATATAGAAAGCTGAGGGTTTAATATAGTCAGAGTTTTATGAAGACACATCCATACAATACTTTATTAATAGTGGTCATCATTGTGGCCTTGAGAGTTCAGAATTCAATTCCTAGGAACTTTCTAATTGTTCTCAGCATTTTGATTTAACTTTTTTCCTGTCAATAAACACAATCGAGAGATCAGTTAAGTATTCAGGTCATGCTGGTTTTACTCAACTTTGAAGGCTTTCCTATTTTGTTTTCAAACTATGATTATTACAATACTTTTGTAAGTTGGAGCAGGGGGGAAAACAGTATTTATTTAGGCTTGTGTTTCCTGACTCGTCTCCTGGTCTCTGGTTTCTCCAGCTTTCAACCTGTATTCCAACTGCCTACTTAATGATCGCCCTTATGTAGTTCTCATCCTCTGGGCCAAGCCCTTGTGTCAGTATTTTTCACTGTAAGCTAATGTACAACCTACAATCAGCCTTTACGGGATGCTTTAAAGTCTGGAAACATGCTCCTCATTGCTCATATCATCAGAATGTCTCTGTGACAAGCCACCTCCTCCAGGAAGCCTTCTCATTCCTCCAGTATCAGTGAATGTTGTCCACACCGATCTCACAGGGCACTTGCTTTGTACCTGTATCCATCCATTTTCATGCTCCAGATAAAGACATACCTGAGACTGGGTAATTTATAAAGAAAGGAGGTTTAATTGACTCACTGTTCCACATGGCTGGGGAGGCCTCACAATCATGGTGGGAAGGGAAGGATGAGCAAAGTCACATCTTACATGGCAACAGGGAAGAGAGAACTCGTGCAGGGGAATTCCTCTTTATAAAACCATCAGATCTCGTGAGACTTAAACACTATCACGAGAATAGCATGAGAAAGACCCACCCCCATGATTCAAATACCTCCCACTGGGTCCCTCCATGACATATGGGAATTGTGGGAGCTACAATTCAAGATAAGATTTGGGTGGGGACACAGCCAAACCATATCAGTACCTCTCTCCTGACATTTACTGCACTCTGCTTTGTATCGTAAGTATCCTATGAATATATAAAAACGATGAGTGACTCATTGAATGCTTACCATATATGTGCTAAGGTAGGCACTGTGTTGGTGGCTCCTCTCCTAGGGCCAGGATTGTTTCTTTTTCATCTTCGTTTCCCTGCATATCTTCAGTTGAAGTTAGTAGATCCTCAGGAAACATTTGCAACATTAAATTGAAATGTATGCAGGTGAAATTAGCACGTTTGGAAAGCTGATTTCCTTGAATTCCCTTCCTATGCCCTGAGAACTTAAGACCGAAGTTGCCCCCTCAGATCTGTAAATCAAAGCAGTTTTTCTTAATATTTCAGGAAGCATAAAGATCATTGGTCACAAGCCTATAAAGAGGACATAATGCCAACGAAAACATAGGTTTGCTTGTGGCTGAAATTACATTCCATCAGTATGGAACTGAAGGGTGGATAGAACAGAAATATTTGCTCATTGGTTGAGCAGACATTTATTGATCATCTGCCTCTGTGCAATTGCTGTTTGTATTAGTTCATTCTCACACTGCTATAAAGATACTACCCAAGTCTGGGTAATTTATAATGGAAAGAGGTTTAATTGACTCATAGTTCTGCCTGGCTGGGGAGGCCTCAGGAAACGTAAAATTGTGGTGGAAGGGGAATCACGCATGTCTTACATGGCAGCAGGAGAGAGAGGGCAAGTGAGAGCAGGGAAAACTGCCTCATAAAACCATAAGATCTCATGAGAACCCACTAACTATCATGAGAACAGCATGGGGAAAACTGTCGCCATGCTCTAATCACCTCCCATCTGTTCCCTCCCTCAATATGTAGGGATTATGGGGATTACAATTTGAGATGAGATTTGGGTGGGGACGTGAAGCCAAACCATATCACTGTTATAGCTTAGAGTTGTACCTAGTGTTCCAAGTATGGGAATGGAGTTAGTTATCAAAACAAAATCTAGTTACAAGTACAACTCTCCTTTTCATCAATTATGGTGTTGACTTTCCCAGGCAGGTGTCCAGGCAGGCAGCAGACCAGAGCAAGGCAAGGGCTAGAGTCAGAATGGAAAAGTCTCTGAGCTCCCTGCTAGTGGCTGTCAGACCTTTTTCTGTTATAACTACCTTTTTTTTTTTTTTACACCAAACAGGCTAGGTTAGACCATCTAAAAACAGGTATCTGCACTGATTGTTTGTTTGAGACAGAATTTTGCCCTGTCACCCAGGTTGCAGTGCAGTGGCACCATCTCAGCTCACTGCAACCTCCGCCTCCCCAATTCAAGTGATTCTCATGACTCAGCCTCCCAAGTAACTGGGATTACAGGCATGGGCCACCACGCCCAGCTAATTTTTGTATTATTAGTAGAGATGGGGTCTTGCCATGTTGGCCAGGCTGGTCTCAAACTCCTGGCCTCAAGTGATCCGCCTGTCTCTGCCTCCCAAAGTGCTGGGCTTACAGGCATGAGCCACTGCACCTGGCCTGATTCTTTTCAACTCTGGATTAACAAAACGTGGTAGCCAAAATCAAGACTTTTCTTGGAGAGTCTACCGTGTGATCTTCAAAGGACCTGGGGAGACTTGTGTGGGAAATACCTTTTAGATATACTGTATTGTTATTTGTGCAACTGAATCATACAGCCTTTCTGTGATTCAAAGTTTATTTAAAAATTAAACGGCCTTAGCAAGAAATTCCTGAGGATGGTCTATACATTTAAAACATTTACCTAAGAGCCATTATCCAGTTTTACTTCTTATAAAGGAAGACCTATGGCCATGAGTCACTTGCAGTAACTTTACTAAGTATTTTTAGTTTTCTGATTTTCAGTTGACTTCCACCAATGCAGATAGGAAATGTCTTTGGAGATGAAGTCACTTGCTGTTATTTTTTTATATGCTCAAGATTCTGGCTCTTACACTACTGTCCCCTTATCCATGGTTTTGCTTTTTGTGGTTTCAGTTACCTGTAGTCAACCACAGTCTGAAAATATTAAGGTATTTTAAGACAGAAAGAGAGAGAGGAGAGAAACCGCATTCACGTAAGTTTTATTCCAGCATATTGTTATAATTCTTCTATTTTATTATTAGTTATTGTTGCTAATCTTTTACTGTGCCTAAATTATAAATTAAACTTTATCATAAGTATGTATATATGGGACAAAAACATAGTATCTACAGGGTTAGGTACTATTTGCGGTTTCACACATCCACTGGGGCCCCTGGAACAGATTTTCTTTGGATAAGAGGGCACTACTGTGGATAGTAAGGGAAAGTTAAAAAAACAAAAACAAAACATAAAAAGGCTATGTATTCCTATGTAGTTGGGTACAGAATAATAATCTAAAATAGCACATTTGCTGCCGGGCTCAGTGACTCATGCCTGTAATCCCAACACTTTGGGAGGTTGAGGTGGGTGGATCACCTGAGGTCAGGAGTTCGAGACCAGTCTGGCCTACATGGTGAAACGCAGTCTCTACTAAAAATACAAAAATTAGCCAGGTGTGGTAGTGGGTGCCTGTAATCCTAGCTACTCGGGAGGCTGACGCAGGAGAATTGCTTGAACCTGGAAGATGGAGGTTGCAGTGTGCAATTGCACTCCAGCCTGGGTTACATGAGTAAAATTATGTCTCAATAATAATAGTAAAATAAAATAGTATATTTGCTGCCTTCTGAGAACTTGGAGTGTGAAGATACAGGAAAGTTGAAAAAGCAAACCTGGCTTCAAAATCCAGAGCCCAAACACTTTGGGAAAAACATTTTCCATGCTTTTTAATAATTTTTAGCTCTTCCGATTTGGGAAAATAATGTCATATTCCGTAAAAGGGCTGTGCTGTGATCTCAGAATTATCTATTGTCAGAAATATATTAAATAAAGATTCCAAGAAAATGGCCAGGCATGGTGGCTCATGACTGTAATCCCAGCACTTTGGGAGGCTGAGGCAGGCGGATCACTTTAGGTCAGGAGTTTGAGACCAGCCTGGCCAACATGGCGAAACCCCGTCTCTACTAAAAATACAAAAATTAGCCGAGTGTGGTGGCAGACACCTGTAATCCTAGCTACTCGGAAGGCCGAGGCAGGAGAATCACTTGAACCAGGGAGGCAGAGGTTGCAGTGAGCCGAGATCAAACCACCGTACTCCAGCCTGGGTGACAGAGCAAAACTCCATCTCAAAACAAAAAACTTCCAGGAAAATGTTTAGCTCTTTTTTTTTTTTAGTGACTTTTAACCTCTATTAACTACACATTTTTGTTGTTCTTTTCTAGTGCTAATTCCACTTCTATTTATAATTCTTTGCTTCTGCTTTAATTTTTGTTTTCTTACTTTATTGTATGATTCCTTTGTGCGAGTCTCCTCAAACCCTTTGTGGATAAAGCGGGACTAAAACAAGCAAGCATCTAGATGTTCGCTAAATACATACTGTGTACCAGGCACTGCAGGGAACTGAGGACTGAGAGGCAAAGATGTGACTCACCGCAACGAGCTCAAAGTCTGATGGAAAAGACATAAAACAGAAGAAGGTAGCTAGGTGCAATGGCTCATGCCTATAATCCCATTACTTTGGGGGCCAAGGTGGGAGGATCCCTTGAGTCCAGGAGTTCAAAACCAGCCTGGGCAACACAGGGAGACCCCTTTCTCTATAGAAAATAAAAAAAATAATTGGGTGTGGCAACGTGCACTTGTAGTCCCAACTACTCAGGAGGCTGAGGTGGGAGGATCTCTTGAGCCCAGGAGTTTGAGGCTGCAATGAGCTACGATCATACCCCTGTACCCCAGCCTGGGTGACAGAGTGAGACCCTGTCTCTTAAAAAAAAAAGCCAAAAAACAAAAATCAGAAGAAGTGCATTATTAAGGTGAAATTGAGGTGCTATGAGAGTACCTAGAATTGACATCTTACCTGTATTGCTTGAGCAACAAGGAGGAACCACAGGACAATCTTCTAGTTAGGAAGAGTGCTGAAGGCCGAGTAGAAGTTGGCCAGGACTGGGAAAGGGTTAGGGAGGCAGAGTGGGAGTGGGCTGGATTTGCAAGCTGAGAGCAAAGAGGCAGAAACCTGCTCAGAGACCTTGCGACAGGGGAGAAGATAAAAAGTCCAGGAAAGGGCAGGTGAGTGCAGAGTGGGTTCATAGGGTACTATCAGGCTCTATGTTCAGATTTGTTTTTTAAGATTAGAAGAAGACTCAGGGAGAGACACATTCTTGTCTGCGATTTAGAAAGAGCGCTGTATAGGCTTCCTAAGGTGGATTGCAAAGCCAGAGAGACTTCTGAGAAGCTTTTACTGGAATCCATCTGTGAGATGATGGTGGTTCCTACTAAGATCGTGACTGTGAGAATGAAGGGGAAAAGGAATCAAAGAGCTATTAAAGTGGTGGAATTTACGGGATTTAGAAACTGAGTGGGTGTGGGTGAGGCAGGAGTCTTGGATGAAATCTGAGTTCATTCTGTTGTTTGTTTGTTTGTTTCTGAGAGCATGAACTTGGCTCATAGCCTCGAGTCCAGGCTCAAGTGATCCTTCTGCCTCAGCCTCCTGTGTAGGTGGGACCACAGGTGCATGTCACCATGGCTGACTAATTTTGGGATTTGTTTTTCTAGAGATGAGGTCTCACTTTGTTGCCCAAGCTGATTGCGAACTCCTGGGCTCAAGCAGTCCTCCTGCCTCAGCCTCCCAAAGTGGTGCTGGGGTTATAGCATGAGCCACCGTGCCTGGCTGTTTTTTTTGTTTGTTTTTTTGTTTTTTTTTTTAATTTAAATAAGAGCATTTGTAGATGTTGCATCAGAGAGAATGTGAAAAATATAGAAATGTCATGTAAATTACCGAGTGCTGGGCTTGGCACATGGTAATTTTACAATAAGGTTGCTATCTATTGTTATTGTCGGCTAAACTAGTCTAATTAATCTTAGCAGAACTGTGTATGAAGTGCTGTTCATAGTCAATATTTGGCATTCTCTAAGCAGACTTAGGTTGGAATTGCAGCCTTTCAGTCCAGGGGCAAGTTTCTTAACTTTTCTTGGCCTTACTTTCCTCATAGAATATCAAGCCAGCAATGCATTCGTGAAAATTTGAGATAAGAGATGTAAAGTGCTTTAAGCAACACATAGTAGAAGCTTAGTCAATGAACAAAAGGCATTATTGTTGGTTCCCAGCCTCCAAGTGAGGCCACAGGACTCTTATCTATCTTTGTATCTCCCATAGACCTTACCTGCCTCGAATAACATCTTACACTTATTAACTGCTTAATACATATTTATCAAATCCATAGTAACTTTTTATTTCATCCTGTTGAGGCTTTTCGCCCTCCATTAAAAGGGTTTCTTGGGAGGGAGCGGTGGCTCACGCCTGTAATCCCAGCACTTTGGGAGATCGAGGCAGGCAGATCACTTGAGGTCAGGAGTTCAAGACCAGCCTGGCCAACAGAGTGAAACCCCATGTCTACTAAAAATACAAAACTTAGCTGGGTGTGGTGGCGGGTGCCCGTAATCCCAGCTACTTGGGAGGCTGAGGCAGGAGAATCACTTGAATCTGGAAGGTGGAGGTTGCAGTGAGCCAAGATTGTGCCACTCCACTCCAGCCTGGGTGACAGAGCAAGGCTCCATCTCAAAAAAAACAAAAAAAATTCTTCTTATGGTTCTGTTCTTTAAAAAGGTTTCTTTCTATGGTTCTATTTTTATGGTTTATCTTTACTTACAATTTATTGTTCTTGATTCTTTTTTTTTTAACTTAAAAATGATGACTGACACTTCCTAATTTATGATTAAGAACTTCCCTTCACAACACCCCCGCCTCCATTTCCGCTGCTAACCCCTCATATGAGTGTGTTCAGATGAGATCTTGTTCCTGGTCTGGCTTAACTGTGATACGAATTATTCAGGCCATGGAGCTTTTTCTAGAATTGTCACTGGGCTTCAAGACTTCCACCAAAGTCAAAATCAGTCGGCGATGGACTACCTCAAACAGCTTGAATTGAATTAAAATGAACCATAGCACTAGAAAGGCATGTAATTTGATCTGAAATATTGCGCAGGAACAATATCAAGTCTCAGGCAAGACAGGCAATTAGCAACTTTGTGATAATAAAGAATTTGAAATAGCTCTTGAGTTCATAACTCGTTGCCTGCCTGTGTGTTTTGGTTGGGGGATTCAAAATGTATATGTTACTATTTTACCTGTGACATTACAATAAGCATCTGATGGATTTACACTAGTAACATTGATCTTTTCCCATTTTACTCCCTTTTACTGATTATAAATGTTATAAACATTAAAAACTGGAAAATACATTAAATTGTAATGAAGGAAAAAAAATGGTCGATCTTCACTCCTCCTGCTCAAAGATGAGCTTCACATTTTAGTGTCTCTGGCTGTTAAGTCCTATTTATGTGTAGATACATACACTCCGTATAAATTTTTATCGTATTTAAAATACTTAAACTAGTTTTGTGTTTTGCTTTTTCAGGTAATAAGAGCATTTTTCTTTATTTTCCTCATTTTTTTCTTCACATCAAAGAGCATACAGAATATAAGAGCATTTTTCTATGTCATTAAATATTCTTTGCAAATATAATTGAATGGTTGCATAATGTTCCATCCTGTTTATATGTAAACATTCCTATGTTATAAGACATTTTGTTGCCATCTATATAATGCCATAATGGACTCTTTGAGTATAAATCTTTTTTACACATGTCTAAATATTCTCTTAAGACAGATTCTCACCAGCAGAGCAACATTTTTAAGACTTGGGATACTTACTGCTAAATTACTTTTCAGACAAGTTGGGCAAATTTGCACTTTTGCCAGCGTGTGGCTAGGAGGTTGTCATACCTCCACGCTCACTACAATCTTCCTATTTTCACAAATGAGTCAATGAACGGGCTGGATTTGTTGTAACTGTCTCTCAAGTGATGCTTTCTATTGGATTCCCACAATATGACTACTGCTAACTTTTAAGGACTAAGTTACCATTTTAAATGGAAAGATTTCATCTTGAATGTGAAGCTGGATATCTATAAATAAAAAATTGCAGTTGGTTATTTGGTGTTTCTCGTATTGCTAGTATAAGTTCCTTAAATATTATATAGATATTATTTTTATGATTTAGCATTTATCCCATGATAAAACTGGAATCATGTATGCCTCATACGGATTGACTGTGTCCCCACCCACATCTCACCTTGAATTGTAATAATCCCCATGTGTCAAGGGTGGGGCCAGGTGGAGATAATTGAATCACGGGGGCGGTTTCCCCCATACTGTTCTCCTGGTAATGAATAAATCTCATGAGATCCGCTGGTTTTATAAATGGGAGTTCCCCTGTGCAAGCTCTCTTGCCTGCTGCCATGTAAGTCATGGCTTTGTTCCTCATTTGCCGTCCGCCATGATTGAGAGTCCTCCCCAGCCATATGGAATTGTGAGTCCATTAAACCCCTTTCCTTTATAAATTACCCAGTCTCAGTTATATCTTTATTAGCAGCCTGAGAACAGACTAATACAGTCCTTCTCCCCCACCATGTTTTGGGGTTTATCTGAGGATAATAATTCCTAATAAATACTTTACTTCTTTGGCATTTGGACCTCTGGACAGCTTTTTGAAATTTGAACAGTTTTCTATTATGTTGTGCCATCTGGAATTTATACAAATAAAATACACTGTGCTTCAGGTTTAGTTTGTAGAAGTGAGAATTTTATGTATGTAGCTTCTATTCTCTTCATTTCTAAGAAGTCAACATTTAAACCAGACTTCATGTTGTCTGGACATAAAAGATAAAGTATTTGTAGAGTAATTTAATCGAGTAGGTCTTAGGGCATAGCTCTCCATATTACATACCCAATTTCCTTGCAAACTTCAACCAAAAAAAAAAAAAGGAAAAAACTTTATTGGAATTTTAGAGTTAGAGCACATTGTACTTTATTCACTTTGGAATAAACCGTTTGGCTCTTTCATTCTTTAATTAAGGTATAAACTAGTTGTGATACTTTCCTTCTCTTTATTCGGCTCAAATGAGTCTCACTGATGCAAAATAAACACTAGATACTATGTAACTATTGGGAATAAAGGAGGCCTTCTGCCCACCCCACCTCTAACCTGACGAAGCCCCTGATGAAGTCAAAGGAAGATAAATCCACGCAGTGCTGGAATATACTGTGGAACCTCATGATATATTCATTATGAGTCCTCCTCTCCAGCACACCCCAGTTAGTAAGTTCCTTAGATAAACCAAATCTATGCACAAATGAACTCACTATTAAAAATTAGTTCTCCTAGCGCTTGAACCCGGGAGGCGGAGGTTGCAGTGAGCCGAAATCGCACCACTGCACTCCAGCCTGGGTGATAGAGTGAGACTCCATCCGAAAAAAAAAAAAAAAAAAAAAAAAAAAACAGTTAGTTCTCCTGTAAGCATTCCTGTGTCCTTAATATCACTTTCTGTTCCTGCCTTGCATCTCCGCATCTTTTTCTTCGTCTCTGGCCGAATGCTGTAAACGCTCATAAATATCAAGTAATAAGATGCAAAGAGATTGCAAACTAAAACTGAAAACCTTAAAGATGCAGTTTGTCATGAAGCTGCTGAAAGAGATATTGGAGAAATGCCAAAATACCTCCAAAGCCAAAGTCTGGCTGTGTGACTGTGGAGCATTTAAAAGCTTCTCATGACTTAGTTTCCTCACTTGAAAACTGGAATAATATCTGCCTGATTAACCACATGAAATTTGAAATAAAAAGCAAGTAAAATGATACCTAAAAGCACTACTTAAATAATAAAGTACCTGGCCGGGCACCGTGGCTCAGGCCTGTAATCCCAGCACTTTGGGAGGCCTAGGTGGGCAGATCACGAGGTCAGGAGTTCGAGACCAGCCTGGCCAACACAGTGAAACGTCATCTCTACTAAAAATACAAAAAATTAGCCAGTTGTGGTGGCATGTGCCTGTAATCCCAGCTACTTGAGAGGCTGAGGCAGGAAAGTTGTTTGAACCTGGGAGTTAGACCCTTAACAGCCCAAGAGGAGAAATTGGTAGGAATGGTATCAAGACAAGTGCTTCAGAATAGAAGTTGCATAACAACCAGTTAATAGAGGACCTTGGTTAAAAAAGAAAATGATAGTCTTCAAAAATATTTTTGCAAAACTTTTTTCATCACTGGGGTACAAAAGTCAAGAAAAGAATGTCATCTCACATAATTTTGTCAGAAAAATGATCTTCCCTCCCCACCAAATCTAACACTCAAATAATTCTTTGTTCTAACCATTAGGGCATATTTATAATGATGACTTATTTTGATTTTTTTTAGTGTAAAATCTTAAGCCCTTTAAAAATGACATATTATTCGGCGTTAGTCTCTATATTTTGAATACCTACTGCTGTGTAACAAACCACCTACCCATTTGGGGTGCTCTAACAGAATAATATAGCCTGGGTGGCTTACCAAAAAAAAAGAAATTTGGTCAGGCTTCGTGGGTGACAACTGTAATCCCAGCAGTTTGAGAGGCCGAGGCAGGTGGATCATGAGGTCAGGAGTTCGAGACCAGCCTGGCCAGCATGGTGAAACTCCGTCTCCGCTAAAAATACAAAAAATTAGCTGGGCATGGTGGCGTGCACCTGTAATCCCAGCTACTCAGGAGGCTGAGGCAGGAGAATCGCTTGAACCCAGGAAGCAGAGGTTGCAGTGAGCCGAGATCGCACCACTGCACTCCAGCCTGGGTGACAAAGTGAGACTCCATCTCAAAAAACAAAACAAAACAAATTTATTTCTCATCATTCTGAAGGCTGAGAAGTCTAAGATTGAAGCCCTGGCAGATTTGGTGTCTGGGAGGGCCTATGTCCTGGTTTGCAGATGGTCATCTTGCTGTGTGTTCACATGGTGGAAGGAAGGAGGAAGCTCTTTGGGGTCTTTTTTATAAAGGGACTAATTCCATTTATGAAGCCTTTACCTTCATCAGTTGATCACCTCTCAAAGGCCCCACCTGCTAATACTGTTACTGGGGATTAGGATTTCAACATAGGAATTTTGGAGGGACACACACATTTATAGCACCATCCCTAAGCCAGAGGTTACAAACAACCACCATTTTATTGTCCCTCATCATTCTGTGGGTTGGTCAGATTCTGCCAGTTGCATTTAGCTGGGCCTGACATCATTTGGGATCTTGGCTGGACTAGAATGTCCAGGGTAACTCACTTATCTGCTACCTTCACAGGGACGGCCTCAAGGCTGAAATGACTGGGGGCCCTGGGATGGCTGGAGACTCTCTTTCTCTCCATATTGTCTCAGGGCCTCTTCTCCATGTAGGAAGGTAGCCAGATTCTTACATTGCAACTCGGGGTTTTGCAAGGCACAAAAGCAGAAGCTGCTTCCAATGATATGGGTCCCAAACTGGCTTTGCATCACTTTATTCACATTCTGTTGGTTAAAGTGATTCACCGACCAGCTCTGGTACAGGGTAGAAGGGGGCTACACAAGGATTTGAGTATTGGAATGCACTGAAGGTCATCATGGAGACTAACCCACTGTAGGAAGCACATTCATCGAAAACGTCATTTCCAGTACTGCTTATCCATGGATAATGAGGACCTCCTGTAGCTGTAGTCACTTTGGTGCATCGTTTCCAAAAACCTAATGAGTTGTGATGTCAATTGCAGCTGTCAATCTACTTTTAATCACAGGCCTCAAATGAAGAAATTCATTTAGAGGATAAGCAAATTACAGCTTCAGTTTTGTTCATAAACTTAAGCCCCTTATTGCTAATTTTTTTGAAAGAACAAGTTTATGCTGATTTGTCCAAGGATACTCAGCAAATATTTGGAAAATAGTTCAAAGTTTAATGTATAATCATAATCCTATTGCTTCTTGGCCTTTTGGCAAAGATCAAGTGTAGTGTCTGTTCTTATCAGTTTAATAATCATAATCCTGAACATTTATATATTATTATTATTATTTTGAGATGGAGCCTCGCTCTGTTGCCCAGGCTGGAGTGCAATGGTACGGCCTTGGCTCACTACAACCTCTGCCTCCCGGGTTCAAACGATTCTCCTGCCTCAGCCTCCTGACTAGCTGGGACTACAGACGCGTGCCACCACACCTGGCTAATTTTTGTATTTTTAGTAGACAGGGTTTCACTGTGATGGCCAGGCTGGTCTCGAACTCCTGACCTCGTGATCTGCCCACCTCGGCCTCCCAAAGTGCTGGGATTACAGGCCTGAGCCACCATGCCCGACCTCATACTTTCTTATTTAAGTGGTGCTTTTAGGTATCGTTTTACTTGCTTTTTATTTCAAATCTTATGTGGTTAATCAGGCAGATATTCCAGTTTTCAAGTGAGGAAACTAAGTCATGAGAAGCTTTTAAATGCTCCACAGTCACACAGCCAGAAAACACTGGAGCCAAGACTCCAAGTTTTGGGTTCTTCTTTTTTATTTTTTTAAGACAGGGTTTTACTTTGTTGGCCAGGTTGGAGTGCAGTGGTGTGATCAAGGCTCACTGCAGCCTCAGCCTCAACCTCGCAGGTTCAAGTGATCCTCCCACCTCAGCCTCCAGAGTAGCTTGGACCACAGGAGTGCCCCACCATGCCCAGCTAATTTTTGTAGAGACAAGGTGTTGCTATGTTTCCCAGGCTGGTCTCAAACTTCTAGACTCAAGCAATTGTCCCACCTCAGCCTCTCAAAGTCCTGGAATTACAGGCTTGAGCTGCTGTGCCTGGCATTGGGGTTTTATTCAAACCACCCCTCCATCCTAGAATTCTTTTTTTTTTTTTTTTTTTTTTGAGACAGGGTCTCACTCTGTCACCCAGATTGGAGTGTAGTGGTGTGATTTGGGCTCACTGCAGCCTCTGGCTTCCAGGCTCAAGCAATACTCCCACCTCAGCCTCTCAAGTAGCTGGGACTATAGGCACACATCACCATGCCTGGCTAATTTTTGTGTTTTTAGTAGAGATGGGCTGGCCATATTGCACAGGCTGGTATCAAACCCTTGAGCTCAAGCAGTCTGCCTGCCTTGGCCTCCCAGAGTGCTGGGATTACAGGCATGTGCCACCATGCTGGGCCTAGAGTTTTCTTTTAAACTTTGAAGGATGTGAACTGGAAATTCATTCTGTCTTTCGATAGATAGATAGATAGATAGATAGATAGATAGATAGATAGATGGATGTCTGTCTGTCTGCACATGCATGTAAAATACACATTTTATTTTATTTTTTTTTTAGAGATGGGGTTTCACCATGTTGGCCAGGCTAGTATTGAACTCCTGACCTCAAATGATTCACCCACCTCGGCCTTCCAAAGTGCTGGGACTACAGGCGTGAGCTACTGTGCCCAGCCTAAAATATACATTTAAAAATCCATTGTGCAAGTATAGCTTTCATTGTTTGTTAGTGATCTATAGGTGGTCAGTAATATCCATTTCAAGCTAAAGGAATCACTGATGCATGGATGCCATCTGGAAGTTATCTGGTCAACCCCTTCATTTCACAGATGGGAAAAACAGGTGTGGAGTGGTTAACCAAGTTGCCCAAACCCACACAGCTATTTAGTGAAGAGCCATGGATTCTTACCTCTGAACCCATCATTTTACCAACTAGACCACACCACCTCAAGAATAGCCTTCCAGATGAAACTATGAGAGGAATATAGATATTTTACATGTTTAAAACATTTGTCTGTAGTTTGCCAGGACTTAAAAGTAATACAAATTTTAAGTGCTTTACTGATCAAATACAGCTAAAGACCAGTTGTGCAGCTGGCTCAAAGTATCACTGTTTCTGGGAGGCAACCTATGACTAGGGTTTCATGGGACAGAAAATCCCCTGTAGAAAAAGCAGAGGACAGACTTCAACGTGGAGAGTTCTTCATGAAGAAAAGCAGGTGATAACCATTGTATTCAAATAACTTGGTGTATGTTTCACTCTCAGGAATATATGTTGCTAGTAAAATCAAGAATTTTACATCAAACATTCTCAAGGCATTGAGTGTGGAACCTTCTGAGAATGAAAAGGGCAGAGATGAGATCTCGTTTTTCAAATTAAGTAAAATTTAAAGGTCAGTTATTCCGACAGTGTCTTGACAATAATATTGCACTTGTCCCAACTCTAGGATGTTACTATAGTGAGTAATGTTGCACTTCGATCTGGGTTGAAATACTGTTTTCTTCCTCCCTCTCCCTTTTCCTCCCTCGTTTCCGTTTTTTTTTTTTTTGGAGTTGGAGTGTTGCTCTTGTTGCCCAGGCTGGAGTGCAATGGCACGATTTTGGCTCACTGCAACCTCCGCCTCCCGGGTTCAAGCGATTATCCTGCCTCAGGCTTCTGAGTAGCTGGTATTACAGGTGCCTGCCACCACAGCTGACTAATTTTTGTATTTTTAGTGGAGACGGGGTTTTACTATGTTGGCCAGGCTAGTCTCGAACACCTGACCTCAGGTGATTTGCCTGCCTCAGCCTCCCAAAGTGCTGGGATTACAGGCTTGAGCCACCGTGCCCAGCCCCATTTAAAAAAAAAAAAAATGTTTTCAGTTGGCCACTAAACAGAGAAATTTGGGAAGCCACTGGTACCAGTTACAAGTTTGTAGACCACAGTCTACACAAAGGCCATCTGCTCAACCCTGGTGACTTGAGGTTGACTGGCCCAAGTTAAACTGAAGAGTTAATGAAGCCACAAGCCGATTTTTTTTATTCAAGGAGTCTGATGTGTTTTCTGGGTTTTCAAATGGCTTCAATGGATTTACTTACCAGTTTAAGATGAACACCTCACATCAAGGAATGCAGGATGGCAAAAGCCTGAGCTGACCCAGAGGAGGAGACCTTTCCCAGGCTGACCTGTCTGCAAAGGCCTTTTCCCAGCACTGTCACTTCCTGGGTTCGTCACTGCCATAGTCCTCGTAATTGTTTAGAATTTGCACATTTCCTCAGGTTTTCTTCTTACATTCTTAGTCAATTTGAAAAAAAAAAAGGAAAGCTTGGGAATGAAACCCAACATTTTCCTCCAACGACAAGCTGCTCATTTGTGTCTCTGAGCAGTTTTGCTTTATTTATGTCACAGTTTAAAGAACTTGCTGGGTCCCATTATTGCTCTGTATCCTTAAGTGGTGGGATTTCTTTCTTTTCATTCAGGCATGGTTACTGATTCTTTTGACAGTGTTTAATATTAAAAGTTATAAATGCACATGCAGTAGGGCCATTACACCATAAATAGCTGAGAGAGTAGAAGCATGATGACTGTGTCCAAGGAGGGACTCCTGGTGTCACCGTTGGTCAGTGTCCAGGCCCAGGCTGCTTCAAAGAAGATATATTGCAGGTCTGAACCTGTATGCACAATGGAAGTATTCAAACAAGCTTTAAAAAAAAAAAGGATGCATTTAAAAAATATTTTTGTGACAAATCAAATGTCAGTGTTAAGTGCAGTGTTTCTAGAGTGCAGCCGCGCTCTGTGATGTAACACTTCAAAAAATAGAAGTGCTGATCTATTTGGGCCAGACAGCACTTTTTTCTTAGAAGTCCATTTATTTGGAGGATACTTTTATAGTACCAGCAAGTCCAGTTAGAAAGTTCCATCTGCTCTGCCTCTTACTGCTTCTGGTTTCTTGCCATCTACACTGGTGTCATCTCAGACAAGACACTACCTGATTTTTTCTGGATAATAGCGACATCCTATGGGGCTCCCTGCAGGTACAACGGGCCCCCTCCCTTCATCCATTCGTACACGGCTGCCAGGCTCTTCACTTCATATTGTCTGCAAAAAACCCTGAGATGCCTTCCCGTTTTTTTGTCAGTTAGGGTTTCTTCAGAGCCACCAAACTATTAGGTTGGTGCAAAAATAATTCTGGTTTTTACCATCACTTCATTTTACTCATAGTATTAGGTTGGTGCAAATGTAATCACGGTCATGGCAAAGACCGTGATTACATTTGCACCAACCTAATACTATGAGTAGAATGAAACAAGGGATGTATGATAAGAATTAGACCTTTCATGGTTGGGGGAGGAGTTGGGAAAGTCAACTGAAAACTGATCCACCAAAACTCAGTTTTGTAATTTGACTATAGCATTTTTTTTTTTTTTGAGATAGAGTCTCGCTCTGTTGTCCAGGCTAGAGTGCAGTGGCGCAATCTTGACTCACTGCACCCTCCACCTCCCAGGTTCAAGCAATTCTCCTGCCTCAGCCTCCCGAGTAGCCTCCCGAGTGATGACAGACATGTGCCACCAGGCCCAGCTAATTTTTGTATTTTTTATAGAGACAGGGTTTCATCATGCTGGCCAGGCTGGTCTCGAACTCCTGGCCTTAAGTGATCTGCCTGCCTCAACCTCCCAAAGTGTTGGGATTACAGGTGTGAGCCACTGTGCCTGACCTAATTTGACCATTGCATTTAAAATTGTTAGACGAGTACCTTCAACCAGGTCAAGGGCTGGGTATAACAGAGTCCGGGGTGGGAGAAGAGCCTATGTTTATGAAATAAGGACAGTGTATTTCAGTTAAGAGAAGCTCTCCTCATTCACAGGTAAAATAGAGTCCTGGAAAGTCCTACCCTCTGCAATTCAAAATGCCACTGAAAAATATATTCAATCTACATAGACGGAATCATCTTAAGTATAATGGCCAGGGTGAAATAGCTGTGAGGAACTCTCAGTGAAACTAAACTAAAATTGCCCCCAAACTACCGTCCTGCACACCAAATCTTCAACAATTAGGTGAATTGTCTAAGTATTTTGTAGAAGTTGATTTATGCATATGGTTTTAGAATACACATATTTTAAACATGCGTATTTTAAATAAGACAAATCCTATTTATCGTTTCTGGCTTTCAGCTGTGCTGGAGGACTGTCCTCTGATTCTCTTCTCTTATCCCTTTTATTTTTTGTCTTTAAACCCTCTGTGCTTTTTCAGTTCTAGATGCATCAGAATTAGAAATGTTGTTCCCCTTGGCTAGGCTGTAATAGTAATTGCAGTCTATCCTCAGTCCTCAGATTGTTCAAATTTCACATTTGAAGTGCAACAGAACTTTTGACCCATGTGTTTGTAGCTCTGGCTACCCACTTTCTCACTAGCTTCTGTGCCGGTGTATGTGAGTGATGCTTAAGCCTCTCAGGCATACTCTGGAAAATGCCAGAAGCCTGCTTTGTTTGTTGGTAACCAGTCCTGTTTGCACCATTGGGTATAGCTGCTCTCATCGTTCCTTACCTTCTTCCTTGTTCTGTGAACTCTCTTCTCTATGGGGGAAGGCCATGAATAACCTCTTGCCTGTATGTTGAGAAGAGAGCAACCTCCAAGCTGAATGCAGAGGGAAAAGGGCTCCCTCCCTGCACAGGAAGCGTGTATTCTAGATACACACTCCACCCCACTCAAAGACATTCCAGCTTAGAGCAATGTTGGCTACAGTTTGTTCTTTAATCGTTTCTTATCCTTTGAGTGGAGGTTACATTGTGTGTGATCATAGGAAGTGCCAGCCAGTTCTGCCTGAGAGCATTAGAGGAATCTCCCAGAAGGGATGACATTTCTTAAGTGATTTTTTTTTCAGAAAGACTCACAGCTTGTGAGCTTGAAACGTACCAACATTGCTCTTTCAAATATGCATCAATTGAATATGCAGTTTGGTACTTTTCTAGCAAAAGTGGTAGCATTTTATCAATTTAGCTCAGTTTCTGCCCCTCTGTGACTCTCTGGAACACGTCTGTAAGATGGTCAGCCAGAAGGAAAGAAACGGCAAATTAACCCATATGGAAGCTTGCATCTATTATTAATGGTACTGTGATTTCATCAACGGAAGGCATGAACTACACACTCCTTGCTCTCAGTAGCAAGGAATAAGACACTGAACAGTAAATTCCTATCCATCATCATTGGAAAATATTGCCCTGTATAGTGCCTGGCAGCTGTGTGGTGATTCTCTGAAGAGACACTGCCTGCTTTTCTCTTAGCCACCATTTGAATTGCCTAGCTGATAGAAGTTTGGCTTCCAGAAAGGCACTATCAAACAAAATCAATGGCCATGTTAGCCACAAGTCCTAAGTTCTGTCCAAAAGTCTAAATCCATCATTTATGCCTTATAAGCCAATATATCGCAAACACCTGAGTTCCAGATAATTGCAGTGGCTTGCTATAAATTGGCCTACAATTCTGTCACCCTCTGACCTCTGATGTTGTTTTCACCTTGTCTTACGTGTGTACTATACCCTTCACAAATTTTCCCCTTTGTTCCCCCAAATCATCTCCCCTCTCATCAGCCACTTTCTCTGAAAAGAAATAATCTAGGATATACGTGAATAGTTCCTAGAATTCGCAAAACAAAGCTACTATTTGTTGAATATGGTCTGCGTGCCAAATGCATCTACAGGTATTTTTACCTGTGGTATCTAATTTATTTTTACGACAGTCTATGAAATGTGCTTCGTTATTTTAATTTACAGATGACAAAAATGGAAGTCAAAGAAGGCTTTCAAGGGATATGGGGGAAATGATGACTTCAGAACACTATTTGAAGGAACAGTTTGAGAGCTTGGAAACACGTGATGCTCCTTTTCTTCAGTTCCCAGAGTCTGGGACTCGAGTCCTGATTTTGCTCTTGGCCATGCAGGAGTTTGTCCTCACTATTTTCAGTAGCTCTTGTTCCTTTATAAACCCTTCATTTAGGAAATGTACTTAAAATTTTTTTTTTTGAGACATAATCTCGCTCTGTTTCCCAGGCTGGAGTGCAGTGGCGCGATCTCGGCTCACTGCAACCTCCGCCTCCTGGGTTCAAGCAATTCTTCTGCCTCAGCCTCCCAAGTAGCTAGGATTACAGGCACGCTCCACCACACTTGGCAAATTTTTGTATTTTTAGTAGAGACGGGTTTTCACCATGTTGGCCAGGCTGGTCTCAAACTCCTGGCCTTATGTGATCTTCCCACCTCAGCCTCCCAAAAGTGCTGGGATTATAGGCATGAGCCACTGCACCTGGCCATTTAATTTTTAATTTAAACAAATTTTTTAAAAGGAAATGTACTTTTAAAGGAAAGTACTGGAATTGGAGTTCTTGGTATCACTGATAGACATTGGTGAACACTTAATTTGTGCTACAAATGAAAGCAAATCGAGGATAGAGAGGGCTTTGCTCTTTTTAGAGATAGCCGATTTCAGTTTCAATAAATCACAATCGCTTTCATTATGGCTAAGAATCTTTGCTTTTCAGTATTTTTGAAGTGTGTTTCTGTGTGCCCTAGACAATCAAGCATTCAACCTGAAGAGGTTCGTTTCTTGTTGTTATTTCATTATTCAACCGAGTGTGCTCCTCAGTTGTTTTGGGGAGGGGCATATTCTATGAAGTCGTGTGAGTCAGAGATCTTGTCTTTTGTTTCTTTATGGCTCTAATTTCTGACACATCATGGACCTTCAACAGAAATTTGTTTGCTTGGGTAGTGGAGGAACAGTAGAAAGATCAGTTGTGGCCACGAGTGATGGTTCACACCTGTAATCCAGGCACTTTGGGAGGCCGAGGCAGGCAGATCACCTGAGGTCAGGAGTTCAAGACCAGCCTGGCCAACATAGGGAAACCCCATCTCCTAAAAATGCAAAAATTAGCCAGGCTTGGTGACACATGCGTGTAGTCCCAGCTACTCAGGAGGCTGGGGCAGGAAAATCCCTTGAACCCAGGAGGCGGAGGCGGAAGTTGCAGTGAGCTGAGATCGTACCACTGCACTCTAACCTGGGCAACAGAGCAAGACTCTCCCTCAAAAAGAAAAAAAAGGAGGAAAGATCAGTTGCTTCAGGATATTTAATTTAGCTAAAAAGTGACAAATGAAACAGTACTGATACATGGTTAGTTTGGATGTAAGTTATTGATTCTGAATACTTTTTTTTAATTACAATTACTGTTGATTTATCCAAGAATGCATAGCTATGATTAAGAGATACAATTAAGTTAAAGAAAAGTGAACTGAATATCAAAGAATATTTCCAGTAGATAAGGTTAGGACTAACTCAGGCAGAGGACTCCCAGTAGAAGGGGTGGGAGGCAATTAACACCACGCACGTCACTTAGATCTGCAGTGGGGATAGATTCTGAAGTCGGCAGGATTGTGAGATCGTATCTCTAGTTTTATTGATTTGCCTTCTTACATGGGTATATGTTCACAGCCTCCCACCCCTTACGGACAAGAGTTTATGTGTGTGTTAAATATTCTGATTGTAGTTGTTTGTTTGTTTGTTTGTTTTTAGAAAAAAGAAATCCTCTTTTTAGAACATCTCTTGGTGGTACCATCAGAAATGTCTTCCTTAAGTGGAAAAGTCCAAACCGTTTTGGGCCTTGTAGAGCCAAGCAAACTGGGCCGTACCCTGACCCATGAACACCTGGCCATGACCTTTGACTGCTGTTACTGTCCACCTCCCCCGTGCCAGGAAGCTATTTCCAAAGAACCTATCGTGATGAAAAATTTATATTGGATTCAGAAAAACGCCTATTCCCATAAAGAAAACCTTCAATTAAATCAGGAGACAGAAGCCATAAAGGAAGAACTGTTGTATTTTAAAGCTAATGGTGGAGGGGCTTTGGTGGAAAACACAACCACTGGGATTAGCCGAGACACACAGACGTTGAAGAGGCTTGCAGAAGAGACTGGCGTCCATATCATATCTGGAGCCGGGTTTTATGTGGATGCAACTCACTCCTCAGAGACCAGGGCCATGTCAGTGGAGCAGGTAAAAAGCCTAAGTTCTTTGACAGTATTTGTTCATAAATTCAGAACAGCCAGAACCTTGGAAATGCCCTGGGTTCAGAGGTAGCTGGGCATGCTACGGAAATTTGCTAGCTAGCAAAGACATCTGCCAGTTGGGGCCCCAGTTAGTAACACTGTATTTCATAAAGAAAGTGCCAATTTTGCAAGCAAGCCTTGTGGTAAAGAAAAAAGAAAATAATAATAATAAGTGTCAAGGAAAGAGATCTTAGTGCACTGGTCATTGCAAAATCCAACGTGATAATAGTTAGATTTGTGTGTATCGTATCTGTCCTCAGTATTGGCACCACAGTCTATTTGTAAACCTCACTTTTCCATCTTAAGTTATGCTACCTCGATTTTTTTTCACCCTGGATTTTATAATAACCAGCAATGAAGATTCACTGTAGGGTGAAACTTGGCAGTCAAAGACTTGGCACATTTGTGAATATGTTTCAGTTTCCTTTCACAAAACAGGAGAGGTGGAAGAAAATTCATTCCCCTGTGTTTTGTCATAATATGGTCTTAAGAATGGGCAGAAGGAAGTAAATTGTTTAGGGACAAAAAGAATAAGGTGCAAAACCTTTTTTGCACGTGTATGTGTTCTCTTTCTAAACACACATGTATCTATTTATACATGTTTACACATATATGTATATATTCGTATGTATCTTCCATTGCCTGCATGACAGGCATAGGGTGTCAGCTCATTCTTTGCAAAAGATCACTTACTCTCTGGAGTATTTTGTATTTCAAAATTTTTTCTGCATTATTTTCCAACCAGGACTTTATTTTTTTAATGTATTTTTGTTGTTTAAAGACTATGCTGATGATGAGGATTATATATTCTTCCAACCACTTTTAGTGGTAACTATACATATGAACCCAAAAGTCTAATAGTAGTATAGTGTGCTGTGAATTTTCTATGCTGTCTATGATAAAAGACTGGAATAAATAGGAGAGAATTAAAGCATTTCTTGATGCCTTGTGCGGTGATGCAAGCGTGTAGTCCTAGCTACATGGGAGCCTGAAATGGGAGGTTCACTTGATCTCAGGAGTTCCAAGTCCAGCCTGAGTAACATGGTGAGACCTCTGCTTCTTTAAAAAAAACAAAGAAGAAAGAAAAAGAATGACTTGATACACGGGACATAGATTCAATTCATTGGCGGTCTTTCTATATTCTAGATGCTGCTCCCCAGGTTAAGTTACAGATTTTTTTTTGCTTCATCCTGAATGTACTCTCATTAAGTCACTTTGTCCCCCTCCAGCTTCCTAAAGCTATAAATTTCTTGTTAAATAATCATGGTATGATATTATCGAATCTTGGATTTAGTGCAACTTGTTGATTTTTGATTTGGCCAGCAAAATGCCTTTTTCCTTGGCCAATATTAATTGATAAATACTGAATACATTTTTAAAAGAATGAATGACAAAATAAATAAATTCATTCACATACTGTGGTGGATCTATTTTGATAAATTTCACAACCTATAAAATATATTCCTTCTCACTCTTCCTTAGCTTACCGATGTCCTTATGAATGAAATTCTCCATGGAGCTGATGGAACCAGTATCAAGTGTGGCATTATTGGAGAAATTGGTTGCTCCTGGCCTTTGACTGAGAGTGAAAGAAAGGTTCTCCAGGCCACAGCTCATGCCCAGGCTCAGCTTGGTTGTCCTGTTATTATCCATCCTGGACGGAGCTCCAGGGCACCATTTCAGATTATCCGAATATTGCAAGAAGCAGGCGCAGACATCTCCAAAACAGTCATGTCACACCTGGATAGGTAAGTAGGCTGTCTTACAAATGGATGCAAACTGCCATATAATTAATGCATGATCAAATTAAGAATCTACAGTAATCAGTCAATGCAATACTAATCACGCAGAGAAAACCACTAACTATATGGAAGGTAGTATTTATAAAGTTTCACAACTGACATGAATAAAAGTCAATGCTGCCATTTTTGTGTCCCTCCTCTGTGTCAGATAGTGTCCTAGGTATTTCACATAAGATATTTCGCATAAGTCATTTCCTTTAATTTACTCAATCCTTTATAACTCATAACAGGTGTCACTGTCTACTTCATTTCTTTGTCTCATGGGATGCTATCAAAGTAGCTGCCAATTCCACTTGCTCAATGTTTACCAGTAGTTGGAGTAATAAAGTTATCACACATATAAAGGGAGGGAATGTCAATGGTTTCACCCAGAGAAGAAAACCGCAAATATAAATGTTCACATTTGTGTCACTTGTGGTTTGAATCATCTGAATTTTGGAAAATGCAATTATAAAAAATAATAGTAATAAGTATAGCATGTGTTGGGTAGTATCATGCATTAGTTTCCTATTGCTACTGTAACAAGTTATCACAAACTGGGTGCCCCTAAACAACAGAAATTTAGTCTCTCAAAGTTCTGGAGGCCAGAAGTCTGAAATGAAACTTTGTCAGGGCCCCGCTTCCTCCAAAGGCTGCAGGGAGAATCTTTCCTTGCTTCTTCCATAGCCTCAGATCCAGCTGTTCCATGGTTTGTGGCTGCATAACTACAGTTTTTGCCTCTGTCTTCGCATAGCCTTTTCCTCACTGTCTATGTCTTCTCCTCTGTTTGTTACAACCACAGTTGCCATTGGATTTATGGCCCGTCCAGATAATCCAGAATAATCTCATCTCAGATCATTTACTTAATTATATCTGCAGACCTTTTCCCCAAATAATGTCACTTTCAGAGGTTCCAAGAGTTAGAATATGGACCTATCTTGTTGGGGTTCACCATTTAATCCCTACATATTATTTTAGATGCATAGGGGACAGTAAAATGAATGACTAAATGAAGAAATGCCAGCTGCTGTTAATTTTATGAACAAGTCTAACTGTTGCTAAGGCTACTCATTAGCCTTCAGTTGAATTTATTATAGAATTAATACAGCACCAGTGAGACTAATAATATATTATAGTTACTTCTATCTTGCCTATTGGAGTAAAGCCATATTAACATATTGATAAATCCTGATTATCAGACCAGACAGATTGCTATTTCATAAACTAACAGTCCTGCAAAATGTATTGATAAAATGCCTCTCCTTATGAGGCTGCAGTGAACCATGACCACTACACTCCAGCCTAGGCAACAGAGCAAGACCCTGTCTCAAGAAAAAAAAAATTCTTTTACTTAATAAAAAATACTGTGAAATCATGTGCAGGAAATATAAACAAGTTGTAGTTATAGCAGAACAGAGAAGTCAGTATTAATGGGGAAACTGAGGCATAATAGGATAAAGGTAATTCTCCTGGCAACCAGGTTGGTATCAAGATCCATACTTGGCTATCTTGAGGAATCTTCTGGTTGCACTGATAAAGTAGAGGCATGCTTCTATATACTGGTCACAGAGACAATGCATCAGACTGTGAAAACTAGACTCTTTGGACCCAGTGAGAACTTTGAATTCTAACTCTCATTGGTGTAACATCTTGGACAGCTTAATTTGAATTTAAAACAATGTATTTTATAATGTTGCCTTGTATGATATGGGATATATGTAGCACATTTACTGAGTAAGGATGATACTTTTTAAACATTGTGAAGTACCTCATACCTTCAAAAATGTATTACACTAATACTTTTAAATTTTATAAAATGTTTTAGATTCTTAAAAGCGTTGCATTCTGCAGTTATTATACAGTGTAATTGTTCTATATGTCTATTAGAACATAATCATTTATCATGTTCAAGTATTCTGCATTTCTACTAATTTAAATATATATATATATATGGAGAGAGAGAGAGAGAGAGAGAGAGTCTGTCTCTCTGTTGCCCAGGCTGGAGTGCAGTGGCATGATTTTGGCTCACTGCAGCCTCACCCTCCCAAGTTCAAGTGATCCTCCAACCTCAGCCTCCCAAGAAGCTGGGACTACAGGCATGTGCCTCCACACCTGGCTAATTTTTATATTTTTTGTAGAGATAGGTTCTTGCCCTGTTGCCGAGGCTGGTCTCAAACTCCTGAGCTCAAGCAAGTCACTCGTCTTGGCCTCTCAAAGTTCTGGGACTATAGGCATATGCCATTGTACCTGGTCATAAATTTCTTTTAATTGCGTGCTTGGCATTCCTTGGGATTCCTGAATGTAAGGATGTACCTTTCATTGTTTCTGAAAAGCCTCAGCCATTATCTCTTTAAATACTGTTTCACTCACATGTTATTTATCATCTGTATCACAAACTCCAATTTGATATATGTAGGGCTTTCTTACCTATACTCTGTATTTCTTAACACCTCTTTCATATTTCCATCCACGTGCATCACTGAGCTATAATTTCTTCAGTTTGATCTTCCTATTTACTACTTCTCTTTCCAACGGAATCAATCTGTCACTTAGCCAATATATTTGGTTTATAATGTTGAGAACTACATGGTTTTTCTGTTACCTATTAAGTTCTAGTTGGTTACTTTTCAAATCTGCTTGGTTAATTTTGATCATTTATGTTCCTTTCAACATGGTTTCGATTCAACCTTTAAAAAAATATTAAACATACAATGTATAACTTGTAATTGATAAATCTAACTTCTACTGCCTTTGTTTTACTCTGATATAGTTTACTAGTTCTTCTGGCTGTCATTGATAGGAGGTTATTTCCTTATGTTTTAGAGTACAATTTTTTGTTGTAACATCAGACATCTTGGAAATTATTATGAGTATTAGGTTGGTTTCCTCTTACCCCTGGTTTTTTTTTTTTGGTTATTTATTTTTTATTTCTGGTAGGCAGTTGTGGCACTACTTACGTGGGACACTTTATACTAAATTTTTTAATTGTGGTAAAATGTGCATAACATAAAATTTATCATCTTTTAAACATTTTGAAATGTACAGTTCAGTAATGTTGAGTGTATTCACTCCCCATGGCCTGTGACAAACGCCATTCTACTTTCTGTCTCTATGAATTTGACTACTCTAGGTACCTCATGTAGATGGAATCACATAAAGCTTTTTGTGACTGTTTAAACTAAATTTTAGACTTGAGAGACTTAGACCCACACAGGTGCTATGAGTTCTGACCCCTCAGCTTAGCAAGTGCAGGAATGGGGCTATGGATTCTCAAGGGAGACTTTTTCTCAACTTACCTTCCTTTCACTAGAAGACAAGACTGAGAAAGATACATACAGATACCCCTTGACTTAAGATGGGTTATGTTCCAATAAACCCATTGTAAGTCAAAAATATTGTAAGCTGAAAGTGCATTTAATATACCTAACCCACTGAACACTACAGCTTAACGTAGTCTACCTTAAACATGCTCAGAACCCTTACATTAGCCTATACTTCCGCAGAATCATCTATCACAAAGCCTATTTTATAATAAGGTGTTGAACAGCTCATATAATGTATTGAATACTGTACCGAAAGTGGAAAACGGAATGTTTCTCTTGGTACTTGAAGTACGGTTTCTAGTGAATGTGTATTGCATTCACGCCATTGTAAAGTCCAAAAAGCATTAAGGTGAACTAGCCAGGGACCATCTGTAATCTCCAAAAACTGTATATGGGGCAAGTTTTTACCTACTTCATCCTCAAGGGTGTTGCCTTCCATATAAAGGGAGTAGCCCTTTATATGTCTCCAGTCTGATCTCCTACTCAGTTCAAGCCCAAGCTCTGTCTTACTTGGTTCATTAATACCTTTTAGGCAAATGCTAGCTCTAGGTCTCAACTTATTCCTCATTTTCTCAGCTCTCTTGTTGTCTCTGTCCCGCGAGCAAGTAAGTGTTACTTTCCCACCAGCTAAACCAAGCATTTCAAAATAGGGTGTTTTTTTTCTCTCTCTTCAATATAATGTAGTATTTTACATGCATTCTGCTGGAAAGGTTTTCTGTGAACATCTAGTCTGCCATACTGCTTGAAACTGGCTCAAGATGATTCGTAAAGAAGAAGCTTTCTATCTCCATCTATTTACAGTTAGACATGTATGTAAGTTAGAAAATTATGCTTGGCACAAATAGAAAACAAGCTTTCACTGGAAAATGTGAAATAAACCCTTACTTCTACCACAGTAGTATTTCCCTGCTCATAAAATCAAACAATATATAAATTGCAAATGTTTTCTTTATTGCCTAGTGATATACATATATGTATACACTACACCTATATATACACATATGTATATATTTATGTATATACACACACATATGTATTTTTTTTCTGTTAAACAATAAAGATACATTACCAGATTTCCATTTGGCTGCAGTTTCAATATATCTCTCTAGAATGGGTCAGAACAGAATGGAAAGGTTGACCTGACATCAGACAAACTCAGAACATTCTAGAAAATTCTGAGACCATCGCTAGAGCAGCCATCCATTCTGTACCTATCTGATGGATTATTCACGGTTCCAGTGCATGAAAAAGACATACATGAAAGTATGAGCATTTCAGAAGGGAGGCAGCTAGGGAACATGGCTTTAGAAAAAGCAGTGCATTCGGAAAAACATACCGAATAAAGTAACAGAAAAAAATAATCAGGGAGGCAGATGCAGGCATTGTTAGCTCTTTGAAGTGGCTGTTCACAGCAAGACAGTGGCCATGCTGAAGTTTGACTGGGTCAGCCTCTCACAGACTCTCTGAGGTCTGCAGGGCTGTGCATACGATCTGAGCCGTACTGAAAGGCCAAGGACTTCAGCTTTCTGTAACGGGGACAAATCACAAAGGGCATGTATTTCATGCAACGAAATGCACAGAAGCCTCACGAAACAGACCTGCATCCCCAAAACAAGGCCTCCAAAAAATAAAAACCAAGACAAAATGGCAAATCATTTCATTTCCCCCATCATGCCTTTTCAGACATTAAAAACCAAAAAAAAAGATCTGAGGCTACCTTGTGATTGGAAGATAATCAGGCCGTCGCTGTGCTTCATAGCCCCCTCCAGAATGCTGGGACTCTCCAATGGGACTGACCCTCAGTCTTACCTACCCATGATCAGTTTATTTTTCCCCTTTAAAGTAGTATTTCCATCATTTCAGTATACAAAAATAAAATATTACAGTGTGCCCCCAATCACATTGAAGCAGGTAAATATTTTTGAAGATATACAATCTTCATTAGGATTCATGCATTTGTATGGGTGCACACACACACACACATACACTCATTGTGACAACAACAACAACAAATTGCTACATGGCTATCCAAAAGGGGCATTTGGGACCCTGAGAGGGAAGAGTTAATGAATGGCCATCACCTTAGGAGACCTCTTAACTACATTGTTGTCATGTGACCGTTGGTGACCTGCTTAAGGTCATTTACTAGGAGATAACAGCTTGACAAGATAAATCTGCTTCTGTGTCTAGGCCGTCCCCTAACCATCTGCTCCCTTTAAGAAACATGGGCCTGTTGGTTGCTGTGAATTTAACCCTAGGGAACATTGCAGGGGGCTGCCCTTGATAGTTACAGCCACCCAAAGTCAACATTTATTGGAAAAGAGCACCTGGCACTTAAGTGTTCCTGTTTGGTCTTAATCTATGAAGGCTTTCTGCCTTTCAATCACTTACTATAATTTTACTACCTGTTAAAACTCTACCCACGTGTCCAGGTGACGTGTAATGATAGCACTGCCTTGGCCTCCGGTCTAATACAGGCTAGATGCGATTAAAAAAAACAACACCCCACATATATCCTTTTTGCCATTCATCTTCAAGGAGATTTTATCCTTAATGGACTATTAGAGTAGCTGTAGGTATTTTTATGACGACAAAATTCTTTACCAATGAAAGCTGAGTAAAACAGCATGGCTGGCAGGTATTTGGGTAGCAACTATTTACTGATTAATTTTTGAGCCCCCTGGAGGGGAAACAGACAGGTGCTGTGTGCCTGAATCTTTTTTCTACTTGGTTATCTATTCAACAAGCCAAAGGGCTTTGATAGAAATCCAGGGCCTAGAGTTTGATTAAGGGCACAATGATAATTAAGTGAAGGAAAATAGCGCATCACTGTCTTTGAAAATTCCTAGCTGAGGAAGGTAGAGGAATTGACCTAAGGGTTTCTGAAAGACAACAAGAGGGAAACATTTAGGGAACTGGCCGACAGCACATTTTATTCCCTTTGCCTCTGATCATTCGTGCCAAATTGGCCAAACTCTTGGAAAGCTATAATTTTGATATGTTTTTCATGCTCTTAATTAGATGAAATAAGAGAGTGGGATATCACATCATTCATTCATTCCACAAATACTTGCATGTCTAATTACCATATACCAGACGTTGGGCTGTAGCCTGAAGAACAACCCACTCTCTGCCTTCAAAGTCATTATTTAATTATAATTATGGTGATTTTTAACCTTAAGGTTTTCTGTGAAAAACCACAAAAAATAATTATTTGGTTTCCTTGGAACTTACACACATTTAATCCCTCTGAATATTCGTGAATTAACGGGAAGTCATTCAAAAACAATTCCAAGCAAATGTTTGACAAACTGAAACTGAGCAAAACATCGTGATATCGTTAAGTAGTACAGGGGTGTTTGAGAATAATTGGAATGCTATGTGCATGTATTTGTTTGTAACATCTAGAATCCTATGAATATGACACTGAGTTTCTTTTATTCTTAAAAACAATTTTTTTTTTAAATTTTTAAGAGTAAAAGAGACAGGGACTTGCTATGTTTCCCAAGTTAATTTTGAACTCCTTCCTCAAGTGATCCTCCTGCCTTGGCCTCCCAAAATGCTGGGGTTACCGGCTTGAGCCACTGAGCCGGCCAGAAAAATTATTTTTAACCCTAAAGTGTTATGCAAAATTTCCCCACCCCTGCCCTAGTTATTGTTTACTGTGTATTTTCTCTCAACATGCAGAACGTATGGAAGGAAGAAAGGGAAAGGGAGAGGGAGGGAGGCAGAAAGGATGGAAGGAAGGGGAGGGAGGGAGAAGAGAAAGAAAGAAGGAAAAAAGGAAACAGAAAGAAATCCAGGCAAATATCTGACAAAGTAAAATGCACCAAAATTCTGTATATTCATAAATAGTGCCAAATAAAATGCAATAAAGTTATGGTGATAATTAATAATTAATTGTGGAGTATTCCAGATTATACTATTTTGGGCAGACCTGCCTTCCTGGTGAAAGGGAAACGCTGGCCATGTGCTCTATCCAGTACATTCTACCCACCAAAGCCTTCCACGAGTAATTTTTTTTCTAAAGCAATTTTTCATAACTCTGACACCATTCCCATGAAATGTGACATTTTAACAAATAGGATTGCCAGGTCTGTGAGATTTATCTTCACTCTCCTCAATACCGTCATTCCCTGAACCGTGTATCGCCTTACATGAAAAACGCAACCTCTTTTGTGCTATGTGGTAGCTGAAGAGTTCGTATGGTAAAAAGCTCTTCCTGGGATGTATAAACTGTGAAATGCATTCTAAAATAAAGTTTTAATTACACTTTGTAATTCGGAGCCAACTTCTGGGTTTAGTCTAATTTAAACAAGGGTTTTTCTCTCTTGCAGCCATCTGTTCCTTTTGCTTAAGCCTACACTTAAGTCATAATATTGAAAGGGTGACGTCACTCCTTCCTTATGATGTCATTAAACATTTCTTTAGCGACCCAAGCAGTCAGAGAACTGAATAAGTGATGGGGGGAGATGCTTGTTAAAATATGGATAATAGCATACTGAATTATTTTATTTTTCATTCCCAGTTATTCTCCAATATCAAAAATATTGTTCAATGAAAGTCATGCCTCCGTGCAAAAAGAATCCCATAAAAAATAAATCTTTGAAATACCTACGTATTTGGTCATAAACTAGTACATTAATGCAAACGTACCACTCTCATTTTTGGCTTGGGTCTGGATCAAACTAAAATTCTTGGCAAATTATTAGTGGAAGTAGCAAATTACATATTTTTAATCATAGGCAATATTTAGACCACACATTAAAAACTTACATCATCTCTATTTACTTTCTATTTTTGACATTTAAATTTATTTTTAATTAATTGAGATCAGTTAAATTTCTTCAATTAAGAATTTCTCAGCTCTCATAGTTGCAGTGGAGCTGTCATTAGCAGTGTAAGAATATACATGAATAATGTTTTAAAATTATGTTAATATCAAATTAGAGTATAGTAAATTAGGTTACAATCACTCAATTATAGTAATTTGCTTTTTTTAAATATTGCATTATAAACATTTTAAAATTAATTTTAGGTTATTAAGTCTATAATTCTAGCTGAGTTTAGTAATTATTTTAAGTAGTTGTTGAAAAACTTTAAAAAAATAAGAATTCCACATAGCTGTACAAATATTCATTGGTTCTAAATTGATAAACTCAAGGGGGAGGAGTACAAAGATTTTTTGGAATTACTTTTTTTTTTTTTTTTTTTTGAGACAGTGTCTTGCTCTCTTACCCAGGCTGGAGTGCAGTGGCACCATCTCAGCTCACTGCAACCTCCACCTCCCAGGTTCAAGCGATTCTTGTGCCTCAGCCTCCTAAGTAGCTGAGATTACAAGCGTGCACTACCACGCTCAGCCAATTTTGTATTTTTAGTAGAGACGAGGTTTTGCCATGTTGGCCAGGCTGGTCTCAAACTATCGACCTCAAGTGATCCACCCACCTCAGCCTCCCAAAGTGCTGGGAGTATAGGCGTGAGCCACCATGCCCAACCTTCAATTACTTTTTTGGTAAACAATTTTTAATGATCAGTCACTGAAATTCAACAATTTTTTCAATAAATCAGTTGTATATATAAGCATTCTGTTGTTATTTTATTTGTATGCCAATTTTTAAAACATACTTGATCAAGTCTGTAAGTTTTATCAGGGAATGCAATTTATGATGCATAAATTCAGATGTCAGGGCCTGAGCTAGTTCCATGAGCCACATAGAGCTGCCCTCACAGGCCCACCACTTGCCCAAGGAATTCACAGAGTCAAATGGCTGAGGAGTTACAATTAAATCAAAGCTCAGCACAATGGAAAGGGCACTAGATTAGGAGTTGGAATACCTGCATTGTGGGTCACTTTAAAGAACACCCATGCTTTCCTTTCTTTATTTGTGCAGTGACATTAATACGTGACATAATTATTTCACCAGTCTATTGTGAGTTTCACAGCCTGCTCCTTGTTCTTGTTATTTAATGGTGCCAACATCTAATCAGTTGCCCAAGCAAGACAGGCTTGTGATTCTCCTCCTGCGTGGCTGTCCCTGTGGTGCCAATGCCTCATCCTTCACTCTTGCTGCTGTGCTCCGTAATCTGGCTAATAACAGCGCTATTTACCCAGCTGTTAGCCTAAAGACCTCCAGATACAAGCTCTCCTGTCCACTCCTCTGGTGTTCTCTGAATTCAGCCCCTCATTTATCATTTGAATTATTATAAGTCTCCAAACACAAATCCCTCCCTTAGTTTTGGTCCCAGATCTAGCCTCCACAATCCACCAGATCTTTCCAAAGGCAAATCTAATTATATCCCTGATCCTGACTTAAAAGCCTCCAATGGGTCACCTTTGCCTCAGGCACAAAATCCGAAGGTCTTGGTCTTCTGGTTCCCTCGCCTCCCTCCACCTTATCTCTCGTTATTCCCAGTATGCACACAGTCTCTGAGCCAAAGCCACACTGACCATGTCTTTGAGTGCCCTGTATTGGTTGTCCTTATATGCATCTCACACATGCTATTCTCTCTGCTAGGAATGTTCTATTTCCCCTTATCTATTTAGCAGAATCTTTCTTCAGAATGCAATTCACCAGGGGTTTTCTCCTCTATGAAGCTTTTCCAGAAACAGCCAACCACTGTTTGATATCTCCTTCTCTTTGCCAACCTAGTTCCTAGCAGCACTCTTACCATGACACTTGGTAAATTCTGTATAGCAAGTATTTGTTTCCGTGTCTCTTTTCCACAGTAGATACTGAAATTCTTCCAAGATGGGACTGGTGTTATTTGTGTTTGCTTTCCCAGCTCATGGCTGATTGCAAGTAGGTGATCAACAATTTCTTGTTAAATGGAATGATGGATAGATGGATGGATAGATGGATGGATGATTCCCCTCTCTTCTCCCCTTCCTCTGATAAACTACACCCTTATATTCAGGAACAGCAAGCTCCCTTTTTGCCTCTCAGCAGGTGGTTCTCTGGATTTTTTTTTTTTTTTTTTTGAGATGAAATCTCACACTGTCACCCAGGCTGGAATGCAGTTGCGCGATCTCGGCTCACTGCAGCCTTTGCCTCCTGGGTTCCAGCAGTTCTCCTACCTCAGCCTCCCAAGTAGCTAGGATTACAGGTGCCTGCCACCATGCCTGGCTAATTTTTGTATTTTTAGTAGAGACGAGGTCTCACCATGTTGGCCAGGCTGGTCTCAAACTCCTAACCTCAGGTAATCCACTCGACTTGGCCTCCCAAAGTGCTGGGATTACAGGCATGAGCCATATGCCCAGCCTCTCTGGATCATTCATCTTGATCCCTACCAACATTTGTCTAAATGGTGTCCTTTAAGACTCAACTCAAATGAATCAAAGTGAATCAAGTGAAAAAAATTAAGTGCTTCATTCTTCGTTCGCAATACTGTGTATTTATTTGTACTTCAATGTTTTTTAGCACATTTAACTATAATTATTAGCTTAAACATCTTCCTTCTGCAGACTTTAATTTCCTTGAGACAGCATCTTAAATTTCTTATTCGTGTCTATATTCCTAACACAGAGAATAGCACAAGATAGCTGATAGTAGATGTTCACTGAATTAATTTATGAAGGTGTGTTTCAATGTGTGAAATGAAATAATATACCTGAGAGTTATTTGAAACTGTAAAGCCCAAGACAAATGGTAGGTGCTTTTGTTATCTTGATCCTACCCACGGATCAAATTCTTTCCTCTGCTCCTTAGTTCTTTCTAGCTAGGGAGCCCACAGACCCTTGTCTAAATTATCACTTCATGCAGACTTCCTTTCTCCCACACAGAGTGCATTTTGACATTAAACTAAACCCCTCAGCATATGGATAAGATCTAGAATATAAAAGGGGGTTGAAAATAGAATCACCTGTCTTGCATTATAGTACCAGCCTTAAGAAACTGGGTATATGATAACTGTATTCTGACAATAAAGAGCCGAATCACTTTGGACACCATTTTTTTTTTTAGCTGATGACAATTTATTTTCCCTAAATTTATGCCTGTTTCTTATATACAGAAAAGTTACTTACTAGTTGAGCAAAAGTATAAAATATGCAGCAGAGGAAATGATATCATATGAATGACATGAACAAGTACTTGATACCAAAATCTGGTCTTCCTTCTGGGAAATCCCAGGATGTTTTGTAAATGACATTGCAATCATTTCATCCACCTTGAAGATGGGACTTTTCTTCAGTGTGAAATGCGGTAGCTCTTCTGTGCGTCACAATCACTTCACTGACTTTTCAGGGGAAGAAGTGAAAAATACCGACCTTAAAAGCTGGGAAAGATTGGAGTAAGAAAGAATAGAATTATTCATGGATGGCCAGGCGCAGTGTCTCACACTGTAATCCCAGCACTTTGGGAGGCCAAGGCAGGCAGATCAGCTGGCGCATCAGCTGAGGTCAGGAGTTTGAGACCAGCCTGGCCAACATGGCGAAACCCTATCTCTACTAAAAATACAAAATTAGCTGGGTGTGGTGGTGGGCACTTGTAATCCCAGCTACTCGGGAGGCTGAGGCAGGAGAATCGCTTGAACCCAGGAGATGAAAGCTGCAGTGAGCCAAGATCGCGCCACTGCACTCCAGCCTGTGTGACGGAGCGAGACTGTCTCAAAAAACTAAAATAAAAAACAACTCTCAAGAAGTATTCATGGATATAGAATGCAGAATGAGGAAAACTGGCTGAGGTTAGCACCTCCACTCTTCTAAGATGTGCTATGAGATCATTGGTGACTGGGAGGGACAGGACCTCTGTTTAATCCTCATCTGCTGGATGGCACACAGAGTTCATTTTCCCATGGTAATATACTGACATTAGGGGTCAACCCTCTCCAAGTGAAAAAGAAAGTCACTTGCATAAATGCAACTTCAGTAGCGCTTTGGCAGTCCCTGGAAGCCATCCAGCTGAATGTCAATTTCACATGGGTAAGTCACCTTGTTAGACGTTCACGGCGCAAGGTGCTTGTTCCTAGATGTCACTACGATGGTGAGTGTGTCTCCGTAGTGTGAGTGCCTTGGAGGAGGAACGGAGTTGCCCTGGTGCCTGGGTGTTCTTACCCCTGGAGGGGCAGCCTGGTTTAAGAACACGGCCTCAACACAAAAGCAGTTTGGGTTTGTTTGAAGCTCTTCAGGTTGAGACCTGAGTTTATCTTTTCTGAGACTTAAAGTCCTCATCTGTAAGATGGGGACAGTCACACCTTCCTGATAGAGCTTCTGTAAGGATTAAATGAGCTGGGGCTGTATTAAATACCTGATGACTATCAGGTGTTGATTTTCTTGTTTCCCGTCCCACCCCTTATTAATATCTCATACCACATACTACTTATTTTCAGGACTTTCCTTTGAAAACCTGTGTGATCACTCACACTATTTTCTTCCCCTGAATTTTGCACTCAGTTTGCTTTGTCAATAAGAAGAATTTAAAGGAATTCATTCCCTTTTTTATTTTTAATTTAATTATTTTATTTATTTATTTATTTATATTTTGGAGACAGGGTCTCGCTTGCTCTGTCACCTAGGCTGGAGTGCAGTGGCTTGATCGTGACTCACTGCAGCCTCAACTTCCCGGGCTCCAACAATCCTCCCACCTCAGTCTCCCGAGTAGCTGGGACCCCGGGTGTGCACCACCCTCACCTGGCTGATTTTTTGTATTTTTGTTAGAAATGGGGTTTTGCCATGTTGCCCAAGCTGGTCTGGAATTCATGAGCTCAAGTGACCCTTCCACCTCAGCCTCGCAAAGTGCTGGGATTACAAGCATGAGCCACTGTCTGCAGCTGAATTCATTTCTTAATTGCCTTCACGTTAATGTTTAGTTACCCCAAGGAGGTCATATCAATAAATGTCAGTTAAAAAATCAGAAAAAAAACTGCATATATATGTATGTATGTCTTGGTTTTTTTTATGACAGCAAATTTCTCTTCCCCTCTTTTTCTTTCTATTTGTTTGTTTATGTTATAGAGGCAGGGTCTCTCTGTGTTTCGTCTCAAACTCCTGGGCTCAAGCAACCCTCCCAGAGGCTTGGCCTCCCAAAGTGCTGGGATTACAGGCATGAGCCACTCACTGCATCTGGCCTTGCCCCTTTTTTTTTAACTGCATTTTCCTAATGTCTAAAATATCAGCCTAATTGCTTCCCTTCTGAAGCAATCTCCCCTCACGTGTGATCATGAAATTTTTAAGAGCATTTTAACAGAGGAACCAGCTTCCCCAAAGTCACTCCGCTTTATATAAGTTTTTGAGCGGATAAGAATTCATAGGGATTACTTTTTTTTTTTTTTGAGACAAGGTCTCACTCTGTCACCCAGGCTGGAGTGCAGCAGTGCGACCCAGGCTGGAGTGCAGCAGTGCGACCATAGCTCGCTGCAGCCTCAAACTCTTGGGCTCAAATGATCTTCCCACCTCAGCCTCCTGAGCAACTGGGACCACAGGCACACACCACCACACCCTGCTAATTTTTAAAGTTTCATTGTAGACACAGGGTCTTGCTTTGTTTCCAAGGCTAGTCTCAAACTCCTGAGCTCAAGGGATCCTTCCACCTTGGCTTCCCAAAGTGCTGGGATTACAGGAGTGAGCCAATGTGCCCGGCCAGGGGTTACTTTTGAAACTTACATGTGTGGATGAATCTTATGGGACAGTGTTAGTCTTCCTCTAGAAAGACATCTCTGCTTATTGTGAGATTCTTCAGTGAACGTTTATAACGTAGGTAACATTTATATTTCATTGCATCTGGAGAATTGGGTCCCTACAGTCCCTATTCATCTTTTATTTTTTATTTGTTTATATTTCTTTTTTTAGAGTCAGGGGCTCACTCTGTCACCCAAGCTGGAGTCTAGTGGTGTGACCATAGGTCACTGCAGCCTTGAACTCTTGGGCTCAAGCAATCCTCCTCACTCAGCCTTTCAAGTAGCTGGGACCACAGGCGTGAGCCACCATGCCTGCCATCTCCCCATTCCTCTTTTATTTTATTTTTTTATTTTTGTTTTTTGAGACACAGTCTCACTCTGTCACCCAAGCTGGAGTACAGTGGCACGATCTCGGCTCACTGCAACCTCTGCCTTCCAGGGTCAAGCGATTCTTCTGCCTCATCCTCCTGAGTAGCTGGGACTGCAGCACGTGCCACCACACCCAGTTAATTTTTGTATTTTTAGTAAAGCCAGGGTTTCACCATGTTGGCCAGGCTGGTCTTGAACTCCTGACCTCAAATGATCCACCTGCCTCAGCCTCCCAAAGTGCTGGGATTACAGGTGTGAGCCCCCATGCTCAGCCAATATTTGTAATATTCATTTCTTAGTTGACTTCACACTAGTGTTTAGTTATCCAGAGGGGGTCATATCACTATATGTCAGTTAAAAAAATGAATAACTACACACACACACACACACACACACACACACACACACACACATGCACACACACACACACACACCCCATAGTAAGAAAGTAAGCAGTTGTCATGATTACCATAGTTCCTTTCTCTTTGATCATGTCATTCAAATTGTCTAAAATAACTGTAAAGATTTAATCCTGCTTACTATATATAGTTACCCTCTGACTTAGCAGTTAAAAATCTCCACAAGTGAATCCTTTCTTACCTTTCTGGGATTTTCACTTTCTTCCCCCCATACTACCCTTTGATGGTAAATTCTCCATTTTTCAAGTGCAGTGTGAGGGTACCACGGGGAGGAAATTTCAAATTAAAAATTAAAGCACACTCTGTGCACATTCAGTCATTGTAATTCTGGAAAATGTCCTTTGAGTAAAAAACAATATTTAGCAATAGGAGAAGCCATACAGTATGGTGGTTTACAGCGTAAGTTCTAACTTTGAGATGAATTTAAATTCTAGCACATCACCTTGAGTGACTATCTAATCAAGTCCCAGTTTCTCAGTCTTCAGAATTGAGAGCTGCTGGGATCATGGAGGGTATTAAATGAGATAATACATATAATGCACTTTGCACAATGTCAGACACATAGTAAGTTCTCATAATTGTCAGCATGATGATAATGATGCTAAGTGACTTTACTTTTTATTTTCAATTGGAGCTAAGGCTAAAGAGTTTTCTAAGGCTTTACATTTACCACGGACTTTTCACTAAGTATATGCCTCGATATAGCACTGAAAATTTAGGAAAGTTATTCTCAAGGCATTGGGCCAAAGGACAGAAAAAGACATTAGGAGCAGAAATAAGAGTATGATCCAACCTGTAACTGGTGACTCCATTTCCGTGCTGACTCCTGCCCTCCCCCAGTACCCTGCCCATATTGGATAATTAACACACTGAATTTACTCAAAAGGAAAAATACTAAACTTACCTCTTCCCGCTTACATTACTTTAATTGTGTATATTTTGTTTTTTTCAAGTATGGTTCTTTGGGGAAAACAGAATATGTTTTCTATAGAAAAACACATATTCTTTCAGCCTAGTAATTTTGGAAGCAAAAGATGGTCTCCATGGTAAGAAGATGGAAAATGAGTAGTATTAATAGAAGATAGCACAGAACTAATGTACATTTTATAGTAGAAAGGAAAGATTTTTTAGCCTCCCTGCCTAAAACAACATCGTGAACTCTAAGTTATGCTAATTTGGTGAATAAATGAAAAGGAGCCAGCCAGGGTATGATAGCTCAGAATGAAAGTCAGTAGTCAACTCCCAGGAATCTCACAGGAAAGGAGAAACTTCCCGCACCCGTGGCACAGGGAGGCTTAATTGGTTCTCCTGTGGTTTATAAGAAAAGCTTTGATCAGGTGCGGTGGCTCACACCTGTAATCCCAGGACTTTGGGAGGCTGAAACAGGTGGATCACCTGAGGTCAGGAGTTCAAGACCAGCCTGGCCAACATGGCAAAACCCCGTCTTTACTAAAAATACAACAATTAGCCGGGAGCAGTGGCACACACCTGTAGTCCCAGCTACTCGGGAGGCTGAAGCAAGAGAATCACTTGAACCCGAGAGGTGGAGGTTGCATTGAGCCGAGATCACGCCACTGCACTCCAGCCTGGGCGACAGAGGGAGACTCTGTCTCAAAAAAAAAAAAAAAAAAAAAATCTCTGAAAATACTTCTGACCTCTTAGAAGTAGATTCATGGACACATGATAGTGCTTTTTTTTTTTTTTTTTTTTTTTTTTTGTATTTTTAGTAGAGATGGGTTTTCACCATGTTGGCCAGGCTGGTCTCAAACTCCTAGCCTCAAATGATCCACCCACCTTGTCCTCTCAAAGTGCTAGGATTACAGACGTGAGCCACCACACCCAGCCACATATTAGTGCTTTTTGTTTTTTGAGATGGAGTCTTGCTCTGTCACCCAGGCTGGAATGCAATGGCACGATCTCAGCTCACTGCAACCTCCACTTCCTGGTTTCAAGTGATTCTCATGCCTCAGCCTCCCGAGTAGCTGGGATTACAGGTGCCTGCCACCACCCCCAGCTAATTTTTGTTTTGTTTTTGTTTTTGTCTTTTGAGACAGAGTCTCACTCTGTTGCCCAGGCTGGAGTGCAATAGTGTGATCTCAGCTCACTGCAACCTCCGTCTCCCAGGTTCAAGCAATTCTCTTGCCTCAGCCTCCCAAGTAGCTGGGATTACAGGCACCCACCACTATGCCCAGCTAATTTTTCGTATTTTTAGTAGAGATGGGGTTTCGCCATGTTGGCCAAGCTGGTCTTGAACTCCTGACCTCAGGTGATCCACCCACCTCAGCCTCCCAAAGTGCTGGGATTACAGGTGTGAGCCACCACACCCAGCCATTTTTGTATTTTTAGTAGAGACGTGGTTTCACTATGTTGGCTAGACTGGTCTGGAACACCTGACCTCAAGTGATTCACCCACCTCGGCCTCACAAACTGCTGGGATTGAGCCACCGCACCCTGCCACAAAGTAGTGCTTTAATCCTCACATCGTGGAGTTGCCAAAGTAATAGAAATATCAGCATGGATAAAAAGCCAATAAGACAATGACTGTCTAATGTTCCCAACTCATCTCCACGCCAATTTCCGATCCGAAACGATCCCTTACATTTCTCTAGGTCCTTCATTCCTTTCATGCAATGTCTAATGGGGTATATTTTTCCTTCATTCCCTTCATGCAATGTCTTCCTTCCCTTCATGAAATGTCTAATGGGGTATATTTTTCCTTCACTTTTTTTTTCCCATATTGTTTTCTGCTAGGATGTTTTTATTCCTTCTTAGCTCTCTGTGTGATTGGATCTCTACAGTGGTATTTTGGGGTTACCTTAGTGCATCTCTTTTTACTTGTTATAATGCAAATTTCTTGATATAATCTACTCTTGCTCTGTACTCTACGCTTGTCTGTAGCCTGTACTTGTCTTACATTTCTCTCCTTTCCCTTTCATTTACATAATCTTACATCCTAAAATAGTTACATTCTTTATATGACATCTATTGAAATGAGAAGATATCCATAAAATTTATCATAAAATAATAAATTTTATTTAAAAAATAAGCACTCCAGAGCATAAATATCTGTATGAGTATTGTGCCTTCAAGAAAATGTGGGAATGATATTCTTTAAAGGCTTTAGAATTAATTTTAGAACCACTTTACAATCTTCACAAGAAAATCACCCTGCTACCACAAGGCAAAGCCTCATGTGTTACCCAGATTAGCATTACTCACCTAATTCACCAGACCTGAGGCCAGATTTCCTTTAATAGTTTTCACAGTTCATAGCAGTCTTTAGAGGATGAAAATTTACCCCATTAAGGATTCTCAAAATAGTGTGGGGGCATCTTCTGAACACAGTTCTGAGGGAGAATTCCAAACTTGCTCTGGAATAATGGAAGCATCATTAAACTAAGTCTGTAGTACCCAAGTACTTTAGAGGGGAAAACTCCTTTTTAGATGAGTAAGTTCTGTTATTTCTAGTAACAAATTGAACTTACTGTTTTATACTCACATCATTAAGAGCCATTTCAGAAGTGTCTGTTACTCGACTTCAACTATGTTCTTGTTCTTGTACATTGTGTGCTTAAAACTTCTAGTATGTACATGTGGAAAATGGGCTCTTCATAATAACAGTTCATCTGTCGCATTGTTTCTAGGACTATTCTTGATAAGAAAGAGCTCTTGGAGTTTGCTCAACTTGGCTGCTACTTGGAATATGATCTCTTTGGTACTGAACTACTTCATTACCAACTCGGCCCAGATATTGACATGCCTGATGATAACAAAAGAATTAGAAGGTAAATATGGTAAAGCCTCTCATAGCATTCCCTTTCCCTAGCCCTTTTTGATTGTCATATCTAGGGAAGTATTAGCAAAGATTCAGAAAACAGTAAGCAGGCCGAACCACAGACTTGCAGAGAAAAATATATCTATGCTGTTTCAGGGAGAAAAATCTCTCTATATTATTTTAAGGAGAAAATGAGTCATCCTAAGTAGGCTAAAGCTTAGCAGAGCCTTAGAAGTTCAGTGCAGATGGGCAGCTGACAGGAAACACAGATAATACCCAACCCCTGCCATGAAAATCAGAGAACAAAAGACATTTTCCTCTATTTACCCCTAATGAAATAAGCTGTTCCTCTCTCAGGTTGACCACACTAAAGCCATAACTTCCTACAAGTAATATTTGAAATGCTTTATCAAAAGTTTTCATTAAAAAGGTGATTTCAAGTTAAATGCTAAAAGTATAAGGTCTAAAGACTAAATATTATGTAAAATGAATGCAACCTTCCAAAACTGTATAATGTGTGATGCTGGCAGATAATTGTAGGAGTCATTCTTTGTAATCAAGTAGAAAATTTTAGGCGTCAATGATAGCTACCTAGTTTGGTCTTGGTCACATGGTGATAAGAAGATTGAATGAACCAAGTTAGAATACCTAGGAGGAGAAATAAATTGGAGATTGACAAGGAAGGCTTTCGTTTGGGAATATCTAAGTGTTGCTACCCAGTGAAGCCCTAAGATATGGTTTGTATGTGATAGTTGAACCGTGGGAATGAATGACATCACTCAGAGAAGAAGATGAGGACAGAGACCTGGGGACAGAGACATTTAAGGAATGGAGTAGGAACCGTTTCTCAAGGAAAGGTCGAGGAGAAGTTTTCAAAGTGATAACATGAGAGATATATATTCTTATGGAAGTCAGTAGAGAGGAAGTCTCAGGGCAGAAGGGCTTGAATGCCGGTAATAAGTGACAAATATCAAGGGAAATAAAGACTGAAAAGCATCCATTGGATTTCACAATTAGGAGGCTCACATTTTATAAACAGAGTGCAATCTCAGTGGAAAAGGCTTGAGAAATGGGTGGGCCGTGAGGAAGAGGAGAGAGGATGTTGAGGTGACTCTTTCAAGAAGCGTGGCAGTGGAGGGAAGCAAGGAGATGGGTCTGGAGTTACAAGTCAATAAAGGATCAAGGGAAGCTTCTAGTAAGAGTTGAGCAATGTTTATGTGACTTAAGAGCAAAAGCAGAGACAGAGCCAGAGAGAATGAGTCCAGGGAAGTGGTGCCCATTCCACAGGGTTACTATAGAATTGACATGAAATAATGTTTTCCAAGTTTTTGTCTGAGTGTCTGGTGCAGAATATGGAAGTGTTCAATAGATGTTGACTTTAAAAACTCTGGATAGATAAGAAATATAGAGCAAGGTTCCTAAGGCAACAAATAGATGGAATCTGGGGAACAAATAGAAAGTCGGTTGAAAGGATGCTTTCTCCATGGAAATGAGAGGGCATGACACAGCGATGGGGTGAATGCAAACAGAAGTCTTAGTGAGGGAAACAGGAGACTGAGGACACATGGCCACATGTCCTCTAGTGTCTCTGTGAGGTGGACATGGTTATCTCCTGAGAAAAAAAGAGTGGATTTAGGGCAGCACTGTGTAGAGCAGGAGAAAGGCTAGGAATGGCTGTCAGGTCAATGAGAGAGATCTTGACATGGATGTGTTATGTGCGAGACCTAGTTGAGTCTAGAAATCATGATTGCATGCCTGTGTATTGGCACCAATGCACACGATTTGGTGATTATTTTCCAAAGCAAAACTGTTTTGCGTTTTGGTAGTGGAACCAGAGAAGTTGTGTGCGTACAAGCAGAAAATGGGAACAGTTCAAGAGATTGAGGGTTGGGATTCTATCTGAAAGAGATGGATAACAATGGAGGAGTTGAGATGAGGGTCATGGGATCCAAGTTGGAGGGAAGAAAGCATAGAGAGGAATGGTCAGATAGACAGGAAAAGCATAGCAGGGCAAATAAGTGGACTGCAGGCTTTAATGAAGTGGGTGGAGCATATATATATATATATATATGTTCAAATATATATACTGTATGTGTATGTGTATATATATATGTGTGTGTGTATATATATACACAGTAGAAGAAGTGAGTGGAAAAAGTAGAAAAATGTAACATGATCGGAGTGGGAAACTGAAGATGGAGATTTCAGAGGGGGAGCAGTAGTTCCCTATGATAACAAGAACTAGAATATAATTATGAGAACAGAAAAGTGGTTGCCGTGGAAGTAGCAAAGCTGGAATTGAGAAGTGATGTCCAGGAACCATGAGATTCAAGTATTGCTAGTTGAATAAGGCACACTGGGTTGAGGGGAAGATCTTGAGCCAGTGGTCATAGTTGGGACATCCTGAGGATCTTTCCCTGGGAAGTCACATTTACGTCTGTATGCCTTCTGCTGTCTCCAAGTACTGGCATTCTGCCTTGATCACCTCATTAATAGTACTATGCTTCAAGTTTAGTATCATTAGGGAAAGCTAGTTAATCAGTGTTGCATTAGTTAAGTAAGATGGCAACTCTCAACTCTACATGAGCAAATGACTTCACCTGTCTTGACCAATGAAGTTCTGTCTTTTAATACTCAGATCAGTTATTTGACAAGTAGATGTATTGTTTCTTTGTTTATTTTTGTTTTATTATTTTAATTTACTTGCCCAGGAACCCGATTCAATACAGGTGAACCTGTTCCCCTAAAGCCCTAGTAGTTAGTTTATACTCAGAGGAGACTATTCCTTGCCTAAGGGCATCTGGAATTTAAAATAGTGCAGTGCATTCAGTCATTCTCATCTTTCACAATCTCAAAAACATGATTTCCTGATCAATGCCCTCAACATATGTTTTATTTCTTTTTTCTTTTTTTCTTTTTCTTTTTTTTTTTTTTTTGAGATGGAGACTTGCTCTGTCGCCCAGGCAGGAGCGCAGTGGCGCAATCTCACCTCACTGCAAGCTCTGCCTCCCAGGTTCACGCCATTCTCCTACCTCAGCCTCCCGAGTAGCTGGGACTACAGGCACCCGCCACCACGCCCGGCTAATTTTTTGTATTTTTAGTAGAGACGGGGTTTCACCGTGTTAGCCAGGATGGTCTTGATCTCCTGACCTCGTGATCCGCCCGCCTCGGCCTCCTAAAGTGCTGGGATTACATGTGTGAGCCACCGCGCCCGGCCTCAACACATGTTTTCTAAATCATCTTGGAAATGGGAACTTTGCACTCTGGATCGGCTTCCTTTTCCGAAGCCCCTTTGTGGTAGTGAGGTGCATCTTTTGCACACCTGTGTCTCGCATGAGGCTCCCAGACCTTCTAGAACAAGAGAAAGAAGATCCGTAAAGGGGCATCTGTGAAGGAGATAGAAGGGTCAGATGACCGATGGCTCCCCCAGCATTCCTTCTTAGCTCCTTTTAGCCATTTGTTTACCCTTTACTGTGCTAAATATAGCTATTCTGGATGTATGGAAATAATAAAAATTATTATAATATAAATCTGTGTATATATATATAAAATACCTGTGTGCTATTCCATACGTACGTGTATGTGTGTGTGCTTAATCTTCCTTAAATTAAACCATGCATTCTCGCTTGACCCAAGGACAGCCCATGTTAAGCACTGAATGCCCTTTTGGGTTGCGTGTGCTCCAGTACCCACTGTCTTGCACACTTGATTTTCATCATGCATGAAAGGACCACAGGGTCCTTTTCTGAGCCATCGTAGTCTTAAACCTTGAAGTGCATGAACACAGAAGCACGCTTCTGCCTACCTCTGGTGTTCAGCACCAGAAATTCTGTGTCTAACACCTGTTTTCAATCTTCTGCTCCATTTCTCAAATCTTATTATATCTCTGCCTTTTCACACTTTGTAGTCTCTCTCTAATATTTGTTTGCAAACACTAACTCATTTGTATTTCTATAATTACCGTGATTTTTTGTCTTCTCGTCTGTAGTGGCTCCCCCTTTTCTGGCAGCATCTCTGTAACTCCTGTTCTTCCATATAATGGCACAACAGGAGAGATGATCTTTTAGTGTAAGCAGGACGGGGCAGGTTTTCTTCATAGTCAGGATATGATTGTGTGTCCAGAGCCATAACGTTATCTTTCTCATAAGTAGTCTCCAGATTCTTGACTTAATGGGTTCTAAGGATTCCCGGTTTTAAGTATGAGTATCTTGTCCTCTATACTCTTTCATTCTACTTCATGATTTGATAACATTGTGTTTCAAGGTCTGACAAAGGACATCTTAAAGGAATTTGTTTATCCACATGATCTGCCTTTATAGTGTGAGAAATTATATTTATCAGATAAGAAACATAGGCAAAAATTTTGGAAAATGCCCAGAAAATATCAGGGAGAAAGTGTTTCCTAAAACCTCCTATACCGTGATACTTCTTTGCAGTTGTGGATCAAGGTTTGTCACCCTAAGCTTCAGTATTGTGTGTGCATTCTGTCAAATCTTTGTCTTTTTATGTGATAATATAACTTATCTTAGATAATTCCCCTAAACTGAGTGTGTTCCAAAAGTAACTGCAGATCAGAACTTCAGGATAGTATACAAATTTCAATGAGGCAAAAAATCATAGTGGCACAAAAGTCATTACATGCACTTATAGGACAGGCATGGTTCTTCTCTGCTAGTGCTTGCATTCCTTTGACCTGCAGATACAAAGTCTATTCTTCCATTATAATTTATTTTAAAATATGTGTTCTCAGAGGGCAGGGCTTTGTGCTTGAGTTTTTTTTGTGTGTGTAGTACCCCACGTTTTGCTCACTGTAGTAGTTATTAAATATGACTCATGTACTAGGACACCAAGAAATGCTTTTGAAACAAAAAAGATACCTTTCAAATAATCAGCCTCTGGAGGAAGGCACTGTCCGTCCGTCTAGATCCACTTTAGAATCTAGACGCCAAAAAAACTATTCAGAGAATCCCATAGAAGAGCCATTGTCTGTGAGTGGCATCTTCTACCATCAAAGACCCATGGAAGTCACGACAGACACTGCCCAGAGTCCAGACACGTACAGATGGTGGCTGTCAGGAGGTGACTCACACTACAGATTCCAGCATTTAACAAAGCAAAGAGGATTTCATTTTTAGAGAATAGTCAGGAAGCTGTTCTTTAGTCCACTGACTATAAATTTAAAGGAACAGCTTATTATTTTAGCAATCTTGCTGACATGGAAAGAAGACAGAATATATTTGTATTGGTCAGTTTAATCCAATGCTCAGAGGCTACAACTAAATCAAAATTGCCATAGACTTCAAAGGGGCAAATGGTTAAAATGCTGACCAACCTTTTTTCAGTGGCTTTGTAGCTTATCAAATGCCCCTCACTTGCAGACCAACTGATTTTGCTCTCAGAATATTTTACTTGTAGTGAGATTCCTTTTGTTTCCCTATTTTAATCGCAAACAGTCCTTGATATTTTTTGGCCAGATAAAAGGAGAGAGCAAGAATGAGATCTGAAAAATGGGCCCACAGGGAGAGGCATTTGAGAGAGGATTGCTGAATACAAATCCAGAACAAAGTTATTTAGTGAAATGCCAAAATGGTCATTCATCCAAACTGGCACATCCTATTAGAAGCTATCTTTAATGCGGTATTGCCAGGCATGGTCATAAATGTCACAGGTTAGAAATTTCTGTATGCATGGAATAAGGATATGTTCCTGCTAGGATGCAGCAATATTTTTATCGTCACCACACAATATTTATTAAAGGTCTCTCAGTACACACGCCACAGTAGAAGTCAGTATCTTTACGACAAGCACAATAGGTTAATGAGTAAAAAGTTGAAAGCATCCTGAAAAGCGAAAATGAAAGACAAATGACATCTAATGAGTTAACATTTTTCACAGGGTGCGTCTCCTGGTGGAAGAGGGCTGTGAAGATCGAATTCTGGTAGCACATGACATACATACGAAAACCCGGCTGATGAAATATGGAGGTCACGGCTATTCTCATATACTCACCAATGTTGTTCCTAAAATGTTGCTGAGAGGCATAACTGAGAATGTGCTTGATAAGATTCTAATAGAGAACCCTAAGCAATGGCTAACTTTCAAATAGGATGGTTGCTTATGAATTCACACCTTGAGTATAAAACTTGCAGAGAACATTCAGCGATTTCCAGTCCACTGTGAGATATTAATCAGTTACCTAGGACTAATGACAGATCATTTCCTTCTGATGAGAACTAGGAGGGTTTGCCTTCTCTGAGACCAGCTATTACAACTGTGCCTCTAGGGAGTTACTCAGCCTAATTGAGCCCTATTATTTTAACTTAACAAAATAAATACAGAAGTACCTATTTCTAAACAATGATTTAAAGTCTATATCCCCTAAGCGGAGTTGTTGTTTTTCTCCCTAATCTATCAGCTGCACTACTTGAGAAAATTTAAAGTGTTTCTAGTTAAATTATTTCCTTCTTGAGCGATCTAATGTTTCTTGTAATATTGATGATCCTACTAATTATCCTGCTGTTCTTTAATTAATGCTTAATGAATAATATGGCACTGTAAAATAGCTTCTGCAACAAGGGAAGTTAAATTTTGAGACTTTTTTCCCCAAAGGATACTGACTGTAATACAATTACCAATTCACAATGATAAAAATATTTTGAAAGGTTAATTTTATACTGTCCACCTATCTATATATTCTTCTACTGAAATGATTTTGATATCTTTGGCTTTCCGGTATCTATTTTTGCCATACATTTTGCTGTTTTGCAAAGTTTGTATAAGAACACATAACACTACTGAATTATAAAAATTCAATCATAAAAGTCAAAATATATTACATAATATAGTTTAATGAATCATTACATTTATAATAACAAAGGCCACAATTTAATTAATTGGTAAGATATAATGCAAAAAAAAAAAGAGAAATGTTTGCCTTATGTATATTCCCTTTATTTCCTTTACCTTTTGTTTTTCCTTGGACCTAAACAGAGAAAATAATGCTTATGTATCTGAAGAAAAGGTCAGATCTATTGGAAATGACAGCCCGATACTTGAGCCTCCTCTTTAAAAGGTATCCAGCCCTGATATTTTGTGTAAATAAAATGTTTTTAAAACCTGTTAGTTAAAACACTTAGGTGATGGGCACTGCTGCTTATAAATTCATCTTTTGGTTGAATCCTCACTATGCTATTTGGTACCTAAAAATATTCTCCAAACCCTTGCTGCCAGTTCCTCTTTGATAAATATATAGTTAATTCGAAATAAAATCCATTGCAATTCATTTATGAGTTATCTTACATATCACAAAGACCAATTAGAATTAGTCATTATTCTTGATGAAGAGTCTGTTTTTAATCATAAAAATCATGACAGTTACTCAGACCCAGGCATTTCAACAGAGCTAACACCACCTTCAGATAGGCACACCATGCATAACTCTTGGGAAGTTGAGCTTTGCTAAATAAAAGATATTTCTGCTGATCAAAGATGATCAAGCTTTCTGTGTATTGGAACAGAAAGTAACAAAGAGGAATGAGCCAGGAGAACAAACTAATTCCTTTAAATAAATAAAAAAAAAAAATGCAAATGTCCTTCACCAGTAAAGCAAGCAAATTTTTAAAATCTCTGTTTTTGAAATCTACTCGTCAAAGAGTTTTCAGAGGCAATGAAAGGGGAACAGATTTTTCATTGTAATAGTGGAAGTTGTGTGATAGTTAGGAGATATCAACATGCATTTTTAATCTTTTCCTTAGATGAAAGAGATGGCTTTTGGCAGTGTGTTCTAACCAGAAAGAAAGGATTTGTATTACTCTCCAAATCTACTGTACTGTCAGCTTCACTCCACCTGAGAAAAAAGAAAAAAAAATTGATAGCTCAAATGCATGTAATTCATAAACACTGCAAAGGAGAGCCACTTGGTGTCTGCAGTCCTCATATTAACAGTCTGTCACAGAATGCAGTTAAAGTATTGATTGGCATATGGTAATAGAGCAACCATAGCCTTAACTTACAGACCTGTGAAATAAAGGGCATTTTGACCTAATACAATTAATTTTCTGGATAACTCTTAAAGAGAAGTCATTTTAACTGTTTTTGCTACTCCATATATTGTCATTCAAAATATATTTTAACCCAAAATAAGTTAAATAATTTGTGCATGTTTGTGTGTGTATATATGCATACACTTTTTTATATTAAAATTTTGAGGCTATACAGCCACTGTGCCCTGTGGAATAAAGCCATATATATAAATGTTTTATATGTATATGTTTTATACATAAATAAAACATTTCATCTAATATATATATGTGTGTGTGAGTATATGTGTGCATGTTTAGCAGATATTTGTATAAAATATAAACACTCTGTTGTCATATAGGCTATATGCGAAATTGTTAATTTTAAAATAACCTCAGGCCACAGACTTGTAGTAATCATTTGAAGGCCTCACCTAGTGTCCCCTTGGTGACGTATGCAGCAGCTCAAATTAAACCTTTGTGCATTGGGTTATGAATAATCTTTTCTTCCAAAGATGGCAAAAGCCTCGGTTTGATTTGATACTAAAGAATAAATTTCTCTGACTTTCCCAGTGAATCTAAATGTATTCAGTTGACAAAATGGACACATAAGGGCTTTTTCTAAATACCGTACATAATTACACATTTTCACACTTAGAGGGTAATCCTATGATACACTGTCAATCTCTATTTTTAAAGACTATCACCAGAAAAGAGAGAAAAGAAAATTCATATAAGAAAAAGAAAATGTGAAAAAGATCATAGGCTTGGGAATTCCCTCAAATCCAGAAAATTCCAGGTTAAGGCTTGAAGTTGAATCATTCCCAGGTCTAGCTCTAAGGTTAACAAGAGTACAAGGCAAACAATTTCTTTGGGGACAAGCAGCATTATTTCAATTAGACCTTCTCCTGCAGGGCAAAAATCATTCTTCCCCACACTATGAATGGACTCCAAGTATCATAATAAGCAGGTAAACTCACAAGAACCAAAGCTGACATATGGATAAAAGCAGCAAGATCACAGTACACCAAAGTATCATATATATAGAAGAAATAATTCAATGTCTTAGATTTGTCTATAAAAATTTGTGATCTATATAGGACTTCATTCACATGGACACTAACGATAAGGAGTATTTGCTTTGGCGGTAGTGGATCACACATCTGCTTATCTTGCTTTGATATTTTTTACATAATGTTTCTGAGTGATACAGATGTGAGTCAGGTAGCATTTGATTTCCCCACATATACACAACTGAGGTGCCCTGCCATTGGCATCCCCTGGGATCCTTGATTCACTGACGTTAGCCATACGAATCCAGTGTTCAAACTCAGAATAATAAGCTTAGTTTCTGCATTATCAGTCAGCATAAATAATAAATCCAGAAAACGTGCTGTATTTGTTGTTGTTTCCTCCATGGGCTTTCCCGCCATCTAATTTGATATAGACTTCATCTCCCGGCTCCAAATGAAGAACCACACTGTTACTGGCATAGTCGTAATTCTGATCAGCATCTTGGGCAATTGCACTAGCACGCACCTATGTGAAACAGACAAGAATTAGGATGCGTAAATGAGAATTCTCAAGTTTTCTTTTTTGCCATTCATGTAGCATCACAAGCTGACTTGCTGCCATAGTACAGAATTTAGCATAGCAAAGTCCATGTTGACCTCAGAGCTTTATGAGGATAGTGCTGTGGCAGTTTCCGCTACGTTAGTGAGAAGGAGGACAGAAAGGGACAAAATAGTGCTTCAGTGGGGACCATTCTGGCAGTCTTATCTAACTACACATTCTAAACTATGCATACAATTTATTATCTTCCTGTATCACTCGTTTTTCTAACTCCTTCGATCCCTATGCCCAATCACATTTTGAAATGAAACTAATAGTATTTTTTGCATTTTAATTTAAGCCAGATAGCAATATTCTAATCAGCTGTTTATGAGTACAGAAGTTCAAGTCTAAGTTCAGCTGTTCACCACAATTATTAGAAAATTGAGGTATGTAATAGCTAAAAATACCCAGGAAAATACCAACTCCTCTACTACTTACAAAGAAAAAAAAAAAAAAGAAAAAGTCTTTTGATTTAGGGCTTTCCAAATCTAATTCATGTAAAGCCCCCTTTACCAGGCTGCTTCAGAAGCTTAGCTCATTTATACATCTTTGATTATATCACCTGAGTTTTCAGAGTTCTTTTTTCCATCGTGTCTTTTTATTACTTAACTATGACATGTGCATTTAAATCAAGAATTTAACCTCAACATATCTAAAAGTTAAAGAAAGGACTAAATTTTCATGCTCTGAGGCCTCTCAAGTTTCAAGAATTTTTGAATGATTTCGTTGAATATCCACTTACACTTAGGAGATTCTAAATATGTGGCTTGATTTGAGGGCAGAGGCTGCTTATAATCTGCCCATGGTAAGCCTGTGATCTCATTAGTGAGTTGATAGACATTTACAAACAGTCAAATTGCCTATCATCTCATGCATTGTGGACATTCTGTCAGATCCTTAGCTCAAATTAGGCTTCATATTCATTTAGATATATTGTGATTCTGCCTTGGAAAATCTTTCAACAGGCAGACTTAGATTTGATTTATTTCAGTAAAACATCTTCTACTTTGTGGCTTGTTTCATTTCTATTCCACTATAATGATATTTCCCTGAATAACATAGCAAGTGATTTAGTGGTTTTGTAAACCTGCACTATGTAATAATGCATGATTTGGGGTACAATATGCTGGATTTTATCACTTGGCAAAATGAGAGAAATGAGACAGAAGTCAAGAATTTCCATGCATTTCTTTCAAAATTTAAATGATGAGTTTTCCAATTAAATTTTCTTGTGATATAGTCTCACGTTAATGCTGAAATGTTAAAAAAAGAAGACTCTTTAACACTGCTGAACTTGTAAAGTCATTTGAGTAGTATCTTTAAAGTGTCTTTCTGGGTATCACATAGCAAAAGGAGAAAATGGCTTAAAGGATTTAGAATTGCTTAACGCTGTACTAACAGGCACTAATATAATGAAAGCAATATACCATGTAATTATGCTTGGAAGCACTGACTCCAATATATATGCCAATTTAGTAAAGTGGTCCGTTTTGACCATTAAATAATGACGCAGTTTGACTTCATAATATTTTCTAAAGATTAATCATGAGTTTGTAGGAGTTGAATGCTTTGATTCATTAATTTCATCTAGCCATTAATTCCCAGGGAAACAAATCTACAAGAAGGATATTGCTATTATGACTTGTGTTTTTTTCTCATCTTTGGATTTTTAATGGTGAAAAAAATTAAAAACAAAATATTCATGAGCTATATTAGTAATACATTAGTTATCAACCCATAATATACTCCTCAGCTATTACTAATAACCAGACATATTTTATTCAGTGCTTTGGGTATTTAGGACATGTTCTATGGTTACTGGGCTTTAACATGGTTTTCTACATGAAGGTATTGGAGAAACAGGACATACTAAAATTACTTGATTTAGACACAATAATCCTTTTAAAAATATAATGCCATTTTTATTCTCCAGGGTGTAACCACAAAACCGAGTGAACGTCACCATTTTTATTCAGTAGGCGTAACCACAAATTCCTGCGAATGCATTAGAGTGATTCCACAGACTGAAAGGTTACCCTCACAGTTTCTACCACCTTTGTTGGATCAAGCCAGTGTGGTTGCTTTTTAATGAATGTAATTCTGTAAGATTTTAACCTATACTGTACCGTAAGACTGTCCCAATTAAATAATTGCCATACTCCAGTGTACCTGGCATGATTTTGGTATGGCTGCTCACCTGATCCTACTCTAAAGATATAACAGGACTTGAAATTTCAAGCTCTAGTATTCAGCTCAGTGACTTCAACAATTCTTTCAAGCCATCAAACTATTGAGGAAGGCAATGTGTTCACCCTGGAGGCTGTTTCCAGATTCCTAAATGTACAGTGATTTCAGCATTCTGTCTGGGAATAAGATCCATCCTTCCTTCAGCGCAATCAACCGATTTCTACCTGAATTTACTCTAATATCTTTTCTTATTACAAGATAACTATTTAGATTCTGCTTTATGTTTAGTCCGTATTTCTTTAACCCTAAAAAGATTATGAATTTGACATGTCATTGATCTCTCTAATAAGCGAATACCAACCCACAAACCACTCATCCTTTTAAAAATATTTCATGGGCATCGGTGCCATAACTAATAAATTTTTAAGAGTACCAACTGGTCTTTAATTATTTTATGCTTTTAATCCTGAAACAGTATTAGTTTTCATTCGAGTGGCTTATTTATTATAGTGGCATTAGAGTGATTGTATTCAAATAGCAATTTTTCTTCATGTTTTCTGCTAAAAGGATTATCAACATTAAAGAGATTTCCTCTTTCCAAATGTAAAGCTATTTGAGTTGAACTTTTACCTTTAATATGCACTGTCATGGGCTTTCAACAAATGGTAGGATTAAATTTAGGTTGATGGCTTCATGGGGAGTATGAGAGCTGCGGTCATTTTAGGGATATGTTTCTGTGTCTGCAATAGGTTTCATAGTTTTAGCATTATCTTATTAGTGAGGATCTATCATTAGAGATCATATTTATGGTGACATTTGTAATTTAATTAATTGCTACTGATGTTCTCGTAATTTCATTTTCATTGTACTTCTGTGGAATCATAAACAAAAGGTTAAGTGGCACATCAGGTTAATTTACTGGTCTTTGATGTTTCCATCTGTGATCTTACATTCTACACAAAGTATAAATAAAATGGCTCTCATATGGTTACAGTCCAGAAGCATTTCTCTCTCTTAGAGGGAACTGCATTTTTAGTTTAATTTTTGTGCTTCTCAAAATCCACTTAATCCATAGAACATTACACTGACATGGATCTCTGAGTTTCTGTTTTATGAAAAATTAAGTCAGCTCAGAGAGGGAACCTGCCATTCTAAGAAGTGATCAGACCAGAATATAATTGAAAAGCAAGAGTGAAGTATTATTTAAAATTAATAAAAAGATTTTAAAAGATTTCTCATTTGTAACTGCCTGCAGACTGGACTTGACAAAATAGTTCTAATCTAGAGATAAAATTCCTTAACTGTAGTAGTGTAGTAACCATTTTCCAAAATAGTCCACACTGAACTAAAAAAAAATGTTTACCACTATAGATTTATTTTTCTGAATTACCTGTTGCATACCTTTTGCAGAAGTAGCAGCTTAATATTACCAATGAAAAGACTTATACATTATAAGGTCAGCTGTTTTACCTTACTATTTTTCCTGATCCTCATGGAATGTGTGTGCTAGTGTGATACAAAGGAAGATTTTACACCCCAAACAGTGAAATAATTTTAAAAACAAAACGCACATAGAACACCTACATGGTGTTATTTTCTTCAAATCAGTGTAATATACACAGGCTCAGCAGTCTAGACATCAACATTTAAACTAATTTAAATGTATTAATCCCTTCTTTTTTCATGCAATTGCAATTTCCAGATATTTAAAGATGTGAGCATTTTTACACATTTGCTGATAAAATTGGAATCATTTCATTTTAATTGATACCTCTAAAAATCATCTCTTCAGCCCGATTGTATTTTCCAGACCTGACCTTTGAGTCAGAAGAGAGCCAATTTGCAAATAAAGGGGTGTCTCATGGCTGCCTGCTGAGGGACTGTTCATAAGCCTTTTTGTGAGGGTGATTCAATAGCTCCATTCTGGTACAGTGAGTCCTGCCCGTTTTAGCCATTTGCCTATAACTGTTTTACTGTTCTGTGAATAATTTTTATTTATCTTAATATTATTTTCATGCATAATAACTATAATAAACAACCCTGTCAGTGCCTCCTGGTGGCCATTTTTCCTCTTTTTGTTATATGTGTCCTGAGGGTCCCTTAAGCTATTTGTAGGATAGGGTAGAGAATAGGACGTTTTTTGTCTTTTTTCTCTCTTACGCATTTAGGACTTTTTTTTTTTTTTTTTTGGTCTTTCACTTTTGAAAGAATTCTGACACTGAAGTAGGTCTTCCGAATCCTGCTTGAATGGTGCTTAACAGAAACCTGGGTTATAGCTAAGAATCTCTGAATGTCCAGGGGTCGAGTTACCTAAAGCCCAATAGACCTCGTTAAGTCAAAGTTGCTGCAGGAGAGGAGGTCTCTTGATGGCGATGCCAGGGTCGCGGGCCATCCCCTATGCCACTCAATAAGCAAAGTTAAAACCGAGAAACTCAGCCCACACCGCAGGCTGCAGGCTGCAAGGCCTCGCCTCAGTGGCTACTGATTCAGCGTGCACAGAAGGTCCCATTACACTTTTAGGTAGTTACAAATATTATTTTCCTCCTTTGACTAAGAGATCAAACAAGCTTCGGTTTTGCAATGACCTCGAATTTCTCCACAGTAAAGTGGCCCCAGCAGAATACTGCAGACCCATGCGTAGCCCTTGTAGCGGCGCCGACCGGCTCAGGGAATCAAATCCTCTTGGCCGGCTGGTCCAGAGGCCGATAGACCCGGGGCTGGGCTCGAACCGGTCGCCCCCCAGGCCACCTGCCTGAGCGTCCTCCGACTCCATAGAGAGTTTGGGTTCTGAGTCTGGCTGCGCGCTGTGTTTCACCGCATGAACCCCCGAATCTCAACTATTCTTTTTGTTATCAGCACTCCTTGCCTCTCCCCTCCGCTATTTTTTGGCTGAAGACGAAACTGGAGTTTGCGCCTTGAAATTGACTATATGTGAGTTTCACGGCCTGGGACACCGCAAGGACTCGGCGACGGCGAGCCCCACGGTCGCTCCTCCGCTGTGGCTGAGCCCTGCTTGGACTCATTCCTTCGGGGCCCTTGTTTCTCCCTCCGGCCTTTGTCTACCACCCCCGAGTCGGTCACCCTGCCACGCCCATTCCGGACTCCCCCAGGCCTCTCCACTCCCCAGAAAGCCCGTAAGCTACCCTCTGTTGCGGAGGATCCCACGGCCAGGGGTCGCTTCCCGCGCCGGGACTCCCCAGCGCACGAGCTGTCCCCGGGACCCAGCTCCCGGCTTCCCGCCCCTCGAGGGTCGCGCTCGCAGGGGCGCGCACCGATCGAGGGTCCCAGACTCCGGAACTGCCCTCTCCAGGCCGCGGGGCGCCCTCCTGCGCGCACGACCCCCGCCTCTCCAGGGTGGGACGGCGTCCCCCCTTGCCGTCGCTCCAGGGAGCCCGGCCGCCGCGCCCTTCCTCCGCGGGCTCCCACCCCCATTTCCGGGGTCTCCTCCCTCTCGCCCGCACCTTCCCGCGCTCCCTCCCCGCCCTCCCCGCCGCCCGCCCGCGCTCACCTGGTTGTTTTTGCAGAGATCAGCCCACATGCTGGTGCCGTCCCCTCCGCGCATCAGGACGTGGTAGGTGAAGAAGTAGATGCCCGGGATGGAGCAGGTGAACTTGCCGGTGGTGGGGTCGTAGTGGTTTCCGAGGTTGGTGACCACGTCGTCGAACTTGAGCACCTCGTAGCCTTCATGCTGCCGCTTGAGGCCGGCGTAGAAGGCGATCTTGGGCACCGTGCTGTAGGTGGCGGCGCTGATGGCCCCGGCCGCGTTCAGGCCGGGCGCCCCGGGCGGGCCCGGCAGGCCTTGGCGGCCCGGCTCGCCCTTCTCGCCCGGGGGCCCCATGGGGCCGGGTGGCCCGGGCTCTCCGGGGGGCCCGCGCGGACCCGCCTTCCCGGGCCTGCCGGCCTCGCCTTTGGGGCCCTGGATGAAGGTGGGCAGGGACTGCATGAGGCCGCGGTCGGGCGTGGCAGCGGTGCTGGGCGCCTTGGTGCCCCCGTAGGGGTCGCAGACCATGCGGCAGGTGCCCAGCATCTCGTAGTGCGCCGACGTGCCGGCCGAGCTCACCAGCACCGGGATGAGGATCACCAGCAGCAGCACCATCACCACCCCCAGCGCCCCGGCGGCGATCAGGCGCCTCCTGCTGCCCACCAGCCGGCTCAGCGCGGGGCGATCCTCTTGTCTGCTTTTGGACAGAATTTTGAAGGTTGGGCGGGGACCTCTTCAGAGCCGAAAACAACCCCCTGCGAACCCCAACTCCCCTGGGCGTGCGTGCGCCGGCCGCTGCTGCCGACTCCTGCTCCCCCCGCGGAGGCTGCGGCTGGGGAGGGAGCGCGGGCGCCCAGTGACTTGAGCCGAAGTCCCGAGCCCGGGGTGGGGGCCGGGGGAGGGGTGCGCGGGGCGCCCTCGCCCCCCGCGAGCTCCTTCGCACCTGTGGCTGCAGCCGGCGCCGGCGCGGCCACCGGGAGGGCAGAGCCAGCCGCCGCCTCCTGAGCTCGCCCGGGCAGCTCACACTTTTATGCCGCCGCCGCCTGCGATCGACTTTTCCGTTTTTGCAGACTGCGCCTGTTCGCACCAACTTTCCGTCTGAAGTTGCCTTTTTCTGCCTCCTCCTCCTCTTCTTTCGCTCGCTCAGTTCGCCCGTCCGCTGCCTTTTTTTTTTATTGCCTCCTTTCTCTCTTCCTCCTTTGCCACCACCACAACTCGAATAGACGCGCACCCCAAAGCCCCGCGTGGGCCCGGGCGTCCCCCGGGTGCGCCCAGCGGCGGCGGCGGCGGGCACGGTCGGCACGGCGAGGCTCAGAGCTGGGGCGGAGGAGCGAGCGAGCAGCGGCGAGCGCCTCACGGCCGGGAGCGGAGCGAGAGAGAGACTGAAGGCAGAATTCTGCCTGGGTACCACCTGCCAGGAGAAGAGGAGGCTGACAAACGCGCGCCGGAGCAATTTATAGGCACCCAAGGCACAGAGGAAGGGGAGCCGCTTTGGCATCTCATTGCAGCATCTGCTCTGCTCATCCCACTCAGAGAGAGTTTGGCATTACTCTGACAATGTGGGATTTTTTTTTTTTTTTCGGCCTCTCTTTTTTTCTCTCTCTGCACATGGATGAACAGTGAGATTCTGAATACTCCCTTGCTGAACCAAGCGATGGCAGGTCCTGCTGGACCCACCTGGGGAAGGGAGACAGCTGTGCGACAGCTTTCAGAGCTCAAGGGTCACACCTAAATCCCCGATTTCCCCACTGCCAGCAGCCCCAGTTGGAGGGTGGAGGTGAAGGTTGAAAGGAGGGTGGCTGAGTTGACAGTTTCTTTGCTAGCTCCTCTACAATCAGTGCTTCAGGTGTTTTCAAAATGCCACTGTTAACAGAAGGAGGGCCTTTTAGAATTTTCCAGATGGTAGATGTGATTTTCTTTTAACCTGATGGTTTTCCTCCTCTGCCTTGTAAATGAATAAGATGTTGCCCCAAGAACAGTGAGGTATGTTGAAAAGCCAAAGAACATTTGTGAATGATTTTAAATGAACATGTCCACCGCCTCTGGGGGAGGAGGGGGTTGGTCCTTTTTACAAATGCTGCACCGTGGTGAGTGCATACATACGTACTGTGCTTACAGTCTTACAGTTCTAGCAGTCTTTCGGGGGATACCGCCAATGGCCCTGAAGTTGCGTTTACTTAAAGTCGCTAAATGTACAAGAAATAACCACTTGTCAAAATGGCGTCAAAAGATCAAGCAAGAAGCTTTTGCACAAGTGCTGGGCAAGGTCTTTTCCTAGCATATGGAAAGAGTTCTATAAGCTCCATAGCAGATTTCCCGAATATACATTGAGGGAGGGGAGAAGTAGGAGAAATACAAGAAAGAAGAGCCCCCATTCTCAGTGGGTGAGCTGCAGAAGGAACAGCATGGTTTATCATATTACTGGAAGGCCTCCAGGGTAGATATCAGGCAAGTTACCCCACCAACAAATACATAAGACACACAAGAATGGCTTTAAATAAATAAGTAGAATTGAATCCTAAATCATACTTTTGCATTCAGGAGCAACAGATGTCAATCAAACGTGGGTGACATTTGCTTGTCAATACGAGGATGATGGCTGGGAAGACGGTGACTTATTACATCAGGGTGAGAATCTGAAATGAGAAAAGCAGGAACAAATAAGACTACAGCAAGCAAACAGTAACATCCTGGGTGACGATCAGCAGCCTGTGATCTTGTCTGCGGGTGTCACAGCATGGACTTCTCCTTTCCTCCCTGTGCCTCAATCTCCCCGCCCCCCAGCCTACTCCAGTCCACCCCACCAATTTAGTTCTTTCTTTCTTTCTTTCTTCTCTGTTTCAAAACAAAATAAGGTCAAACGAGCAGACAGAAGGAAACAAAGACTGAATGATTCTTTTAAGAGAAATGTCAGTAGCTCCTTCAGGCCTTGGCTGGGAGAATCAACCCTAAAAGCTGTGCTGTGTGGCTCAGCGGGGTGGGGGTCTCCACCTCCTGGCTACTGAGAGAGCCACACTGCTCCTGGTATTGGAAAATAGGGCTTCCCACTTCTCAAGCCCTTAACTTTTATTTTAGGGTAGTGGTTTTATAAATGCGCGCCTATTGCTTGGGCATAATTATACACATAGTTCCATAATATTTTTGTTCACATGAGCTGCCTTATTTTCATATTTTTAAGGAGCAAACACATAATAAGTTGTCTCCTGGCCATAATACTTACTTTCCTAACACACCTTCTGGATTGCTTCTTAAAAGTCACCTTCCTTTTGGAGGACAAAATGGTGAGGTTTGCTGCCAGCACTGGGGGGGTAGGATATTAATAAAACTCTGATGCACCAGATTATCAAATTTCATAAGGCCTCTCTATTGCTATGAAGAGTTCTGTAGGTGACACAAAAGGAGTTTTTAAAAGGTAGAGATGTATAGAGAAGTTCTCATCAAAACCTCAAGCTATGTGGAGTTTTCCCATTGACTAACGCTTAAGATATATTGGAGTCAAATGCTCATAAAATGCTCATCAATGCTTATAAAATATTAAGAGTTGAAATGGACTCTCTGTTCATGCAGATGATGAGACCGAAACAGAGAGCTTCCAGGAGGATCAATGCCATTCAATGAGCTTGCTGCTGTACTCCCCTCTACACAATATGGATATATCCCATCCCAGCCCGAGACTGGCCATACTAGTTCTAGTAACTGAGGCTTTCCTCCTACTTTCTCTGACGCCAAAGCAAATTTGATTTTGCAAGTGAGTGCCCTCACATTTTAAAGCTCTGCTGAGATTTAGAAAGGCACTCAGCAGTCATCATTCATCATGAAGTCACTCCCTCCCAGGCCACGTGGCTGACCCCAGACTTTCTATTAACTGCACAAGCCTGGGCAACACATGGATATTTGGCTCTGTAGTGAAGCAAATTTAAATTCTTGGTCTCCTTCCTCTCCTCCAGAAGTATCTCACTGTGCACTTTGGGGGAACCTTTTGGTTCCCCCACAATTTTCAAGGATGACTTGGTAGTAAACGAACTTATGGCTGGTTACTGAGACTTTCTACTGCTTGAATTTCCCAGAAGGTTCTCTGCAAAGTTACTCACGCTTCAGCTCTTGTTCTGACAGTTTGGATAAACCATCTGATATGGCATATTACTCATCATCTTCATATATATAATAATAGAAAACGTGTCAATTAAAAAAATATTTGATTTTCTTCAGTCCTCATTAGAGAACCAAGTTTTCTCTCATATTCGATAAGAATCTTGGAAGTGGGCCCTGGACTCTCATTTCTGCAGCATCTCCCAACCATCTCTCAAGAAAACACCAGGCTCCCTACTCCCATTGCACCTGTACCTGGACCTTGTGGACCCTCCAGAAGATGAAGTCCAATCCAGAAAGCCGTGATCATGGTTGGATCACAATCCTGTGATTTTCTTCTTCCCCACACCATTTCTGTTGCTTTCAGAGAGCTGAGCAGATCCTAAGCACACGACTCCCACACAGACATGCACGGCCATCCATTAATCAGTATTGAGTATCTACGGACAGCACAGCCCTACGCTGGGCTCTCACCAGGCAGACAAATATTTAGTCATGAAAATGATTTCCAAATCCAGCAGCACTTAAGCAGAAATAGCATTTCTTAGAACAGGAAAAAATAATAATAAATTAACAAACCCAAGGACTGTCTAGAGAATCAGACATAAAAAA